>NC_000013.11:83604688-83757528 GCF_000001405.40 Homo sapiens | reverse complement strand
CCATTTCTTCTAGATTTTCTAGTTTATTCATGTACCAGTATTTATGTTAGTCTCTGATGGTAGTTTGTATTTCTGTGGGATCAGTGGTAATATCCCCTTTATGATTTCTTATTGTGTCTATTTCTCCTGTGGGCATTTATTGCTATAAATTTTCCTCTACACACTGCTTTAAATGTGTCCCAGAGATTCTGGTACACTGTTCTCTTTCTCCTCATTGGTTTCAATGAACTTATTTATTTCTGCCTTGATTTCTTTATTTACCCAGTAGTCACTCAGGAGCAGGTTTTTGTGCAGTTTTGAGTGAGTTTCTTAAGCCTGAGTTCTAATTTGATTGCACTGTAGTCTGAGAGACTGTTTGTTATGATTTCCATTCCTTTACATTTGCTAAGGAGTATTTTACTTCCAATTATGTGGTCAATTTTAGAATAAGTGCTATGTGGTGCTGAGAAGAATGTATATTCTATTGATTTGGGGTGGAGAGCTCTGTAGATATCTATTAGGTTCACTTGGTCCAGAGCTGAGTTCAAGTCCTGAATATCCTTGTTAATTTTCCGTCTCATTGATCTGTCTAATATTGACAATGGGGTATTAAAGTCTCCCACTATTATTGTGTGGGAGTCTAAGTCTCTTTGTAGGTCTCTAAGAATTTGCTTTATGAATCTGGGTGCTCCTGTATTGGATGCATAGATATTTAGAATAGTTAGCTCTTCTTGTTGCATTGATCCCTTTACTATTATGTAATGCCCTTCTTTGTCTTTTTTGATCTTTGTTGGCTTAAAATATGTTTTATCAGAGACTAGGATTGCAATCTCTGCTTTTTTTTTGCTTTCCTTTTGTCTAGTAAATATTCCTCCGTCCCTTTATTTTGAGCCTATGTGTCTTTGCATGTGAGATGGGTCTCCTGAATACAGCACACCGATGGGTCTTGACACTTTATTCAATTTGTCAGTCTGTATCTTTTAATTGAGGCATTTAGCCCATTTACATTTAATGTTAATATTGTTGTGTGTGAATTTGATCCTGTCATTATGATGCTAGCTGGTTATTTTGCCCATTAGTTGATGCAGTTTTCTTCATCGCACTGATGGTCTTTACATTTTGGTACATTTTTGTAGTGGCTGGTACCAGTTTTTCCTTTCCATATTTAATGCTTCCTTCAGAAACTCATTTAAAGCAGGCCTGGTGGTAACAAAAATCCCTCAGCATTAGCTTGTCTGTAAAGGATTTTATTTCTCCTTCACTTATGAAACTTAGTTTGGCTGTGTATGAAATTCTGGGTTGAAACTTCTTTTCTGTAAGAATGTTGAATACTGGCCCTTACTCTCTTCTGGCTTTTAGGGTTTCTGCAGAGAGATCCACTAGTAGTCTGATGGACTTTGCTTTGTGAGTAACTCGACCTTTCTCTCTGGCTGCGCTTAACATTTTTTCATTCACTTCAACCTTGGTGAATCTGATGATTATGTGTCTTGGGGTTGCTCTTCTTGAGGAGTATCTTTGTGATGTTCTCTGTATTTCCTGAATTTGAATGTTGGCCTGTCTTGCTAGATTGGGGAAGTTTTCCTGGATAATATCCTGAAGTGTGTTTTCCCACTTGGTTCCATTCTCCCCATCACTTTCAGGTCCATCAATGAAACGTAGGTTTGGTCTTTTCACATAGTCCCATATTTCTTGGAGGCTTTGTTTGCTCCTTTTCATTCTTTTTTCTCTAATCTTGTCTTCACAGTTTATTTTATTAAGTTGATCTCCAATCTCTGATGTCATTTCTTCTGCTTGATTGATTCGACTATTGATACTTGTGCAAGTTTCATGAAGTTCTCGTGCTGTGTTTTTCAGCTCCATCAAGTCATTGATGTTTTTCTCTAAACTGGTTATTCCAGTTAGCAGTTCCTGTAACCTTTTATCAAGGTTCTTAGCTTCCTTGCTTTGGGTTAGAACATGCTTCTTTAGCTCAGAGGAGTTTGTTATTACCCACCTTCTGAAGCCTACTTCTGTCAATTCATCAAACTCATTCTCTGTCCAGTTTTGTTCCCTTGCTGGCTAGTTGTGAGCCTTTGGAGGAGAAGAGGCATTCTGGATTTATCTACCTTTGGTCTTTGATGTTGGTGACCTTCCAATGGGGTTTTTGCGTGGTCATCGTTTTTGTTGAGGTTGATGCTACTGCTTTCTGTTTTTTAGTTTTCCTTCTAACAGTCAGGCCCCTCTTCTGCAGGTCTGCTGGAGTTTGCTGGAGGTCCACTCCAGACCTTGTTTGCCTGGGTATCACCAGCAGAAACTGAAGAATAGCAAAGTTTGCTGCCTGCTTCTTCCTCTGGAAGCTTTGTCCCAGAGGGGCGCCTGCCAGATGCCAGCTGGAGCTCTCTTGTTTGAGGTGTCTGTTGACCCCTGCTGGGAGATGTCTCCCAGTCAGGAGGCAAAGGGGTCAGGGACCCACCTGAGGAGGCAGTCTGTCCCTTAGCAGAGCTTGAGCACTGTGCTGGAAGATCTGCTGCTCTCTTCAGAGCCGGCAGGAATGTTGAAGTCTGCTGAAGTTGTGCCCGCAGCTGCCTGTTCCCCCAGGTGCTCTGTCCTAGGGATATGGGATTTTATTTATATGCCCCTAACTGGGGCTGCTGCCTTTCTTTCAGAGATGCCCCACCCAGAGAGGAGGAATCTAGAGATGTAGTCTGGGTATAGCAGTTTTGGGGCACTGCGATGGGCCCCACCCAGTCCAAACTTGCCAGTGGCTTTGTTAACACTGTGAGGGAAAAACTGCCTACTCAAGCCTCAGTAATTGAGGATGCCCTCCCCCCACCAAGTTCAAGACTCCCAGGTCAACTTCAGAGTGCTGTGCTAGCAGCGAGAATTTCAAGCCAGTGGATCTTAGCTTGCTGGGCTCCATGGGAGTCGGATCCACTGAGCAAGACCACTTGGCTCTCTGGCTTCAGTCCCGTTTCCGGGGGAGTGAATGGTTCTGTCTCATTGGCATTGCAGGTGCCACTGGGGTACAAAAAAAACCTCCTGCAGCTAGCTTGGTGTCTGCCTAAACAGCTGCCCAGTTTTGTGGTTGAAACCCAGGGCCCTGGTGGCATTGGCACCCAAGGGAATCCTCTGGTCTGCGGTTTGTGAAGACTGTGGGAAAAGCATAGTATCTGGGCCGGAGTGCACTGTTCCTCACAGCACAGTTTCTCACGGCTTCCCTCGGCTAGGGGAGGGAGTTCCCTGACCCCTTGCACTTCCCAGGTAAGGCAACGCCCTATCCTGCTTCAGCTTGCCCTCCGTGGGCTGCACTCACTGTCTAACCAGTCCCAATGAGATGAACTGGTTACCTCAGTTAGGAATGCAGGAAACACCCACCTTCTGTGTTGGTCTCGCTGGGAGCTGCAGAACGGAGCTGTTGCTGTTGGGCCATATTGCCTGGGGATCTTGTTTTTCTTTTATTCTTCGACTTAGCAAAAGGACTCATTGTTTATTTGATTTATGAATAAATGAGAAAGTTATTTTCTTTCCTGAGAAATACTGAAGCTGTATATAATTGACATCATGAGATTGCTATTCACTCCCATTGTAATAAAGTTAGATGACTTCTGTGGCTCTCAGCTCTGAATGCAGGAAAGGAAAAACCTACTCCAAACATTTATATAAAAATATCTGGGTGTAGAGAAGACTAAGAATTGATGAGTTAAAAAAAAAAAAAAAACTCAGGCGACTCTAATGGACAGCTAGGGTACAGAATCACAAATGTAGATGACCTTGTATCTATCTAAATGCAAGGTTTATATTGTACACATTTACAAATTAGGCCAAGACATCAATGCGCTAGGTGATGGTGAAGCATACTAATCATGTGGCTAATGTGGGTCTATTTCTTGGGTACTTGTTCTATTGGACAAAAACATTAGAGATTTTTCAGAGTTCAGAACTTCCTTTGATAAACTGTTCTCATGGTCAGATTTCAGCATGATTTTCTGAATTAACTGTGTCATTTGAATCCCTTCTACAAAATCTTTCATAGATATTTATCTAAACTTTATTTGAATAAGCCACTTTGTGTTTCCCCTGTGACTGTGACACAGTCTATACCTATTAATGGATTGTTTTAATTCTAATCAATTTCCTTACTTGGACTGATTAAATATCAACTTCCCTAAGATTTGTCCTGGTCCTTCACACATGAAATCAATCTGCTTTCTTCTACCTGGATGCCAATGAAGTATTTGAAGATGGTTAGAAATATTTACTTGTTCAAACTATATTACTCAATTTATCTTGTAATATGTTATTTGCTTTTTTGCATTACTCTAGTTTGTAATAACTCTAAAGTGCAGTGCTGGGATTACAAGGGTTTCACAGATAAGCTTCCTTAGCTGGACCCTAAATTTATTTATTTAGGCTTAAATCTTGAGGGTGTTTACTATTTTAGAGGCACAGTGAACTAGGAAACATTAAAATAAAATCATATATATCTGAGTTAATTTTTTTCTTGCTAGATATTACCCCTGCCTCTTCACTCATTCTATATTTTTATTATGTTTTAAGTCAAAACACAGACATTGCATTTATTATGGCTAAATTTCAGGTTGTTTGTTTCATCAGAACTTTGAAATATAGTTGTGCTACTGTAGAAAGAAAGTCATTTATTGAGAAAGCAAAATGCAGAGTTTTTTTCAGTCATTTAGGCACTAACTGTGATTTCTCATTCTAGAAGAATATGTGGCTTTGCTGATGCAGAATTTAGCTCAAGACTTCTATAAATTTATGAAAAAAAAGCATATTGACTGATAAGTTAAGACAAATGTCAAAGTTCTATGCATAAAAAGTTAGAATTACAGCACAAGTTGCCTTTTTAGGGCCCCAGTATACTCTACCTTGTTTAGGCATTGCGCTACAGGCAACTACGTTCCCTTATTAAGGATTATATGGCTACATCTGTTTTGCCACAGTTGAAAAGTTATTTCTGTTGTGATTGTCTATCCTCGGATAACGAATTGGAAATGCAATTTGTGTAGCATGTGAGTAAATCCACGCACGTGTGTGTATGCACGTGTGTAAGTATATGCCCCTTTGTTTTATTTTGTGTCTTTTCCTCTTAATTCAGCTTATATGAAAAGCTACACTCATTAAGTGTGATTTTTTTTTTTCCCCCTGCTCTGGCTGATCTGTGTCATCAGCAACCAAAATAACCTTATCAAAGACGTTAATAATAATGTGGAAGCCAAAGATGGGACTTTGTAGCATACCAAACATACCATACTTATGACAGCTTTCAAAACCTCCTACTTCCAGTTTCAAACAATCTGCTACTCAACATTCCTGGGACATAATTTTTCAAATAATTGTAAAGCAAAGTAACTGCAGTATAATTCATATAAATCTCTCAATTTTGCCATAATATATGATGAGAAACTTTAAAAAATGCATTGATAGGCTAAAAATATATCTGAATACTTTATTGATATAGTAGAAATATTAGGTTAATTTTCTTTATTGAAAGAGAATTGTAAAGTACTTTAACATATATGTGGCTATTTGGTAAGATATTGTCATTCTAATCCCCTAACTGTCCAAGTAACTTTGTCTAATCTCAGTGAGTATCTTAATGAGCTATGAAATCATCATTCATAGAAATGATCATACTTAATTACTAAATGGCTATTTTTGCAAATCCTAGTGTAGTCCTCTGGTGGATAAAGTGGATCTAAGTGAAACAGATTTTCTTAGGTAACTAAAAAGTGTAAGGTATACCCACTCAAAACAGAACAGTTAATCGCCACTACCTGAATTGTCACCTGGAGGAAGGGGGTGGAGGTAACAGTAATACTATGAGGTGGGAAGACCAAGTAGAATCAGATGAAAGTTATGAGAAATACTCCAGAAATTGGGCAAAAAAAGAAAAAAAAATTACAGGCAATTGGAAGGGCATCTTAAGTGAGTTCACAAACTTAACTTTCAGATATGTAACAACATGTTACTGCTAATTTCTCAGAAAAGCAGAAACATTTGGAATATATTAAGCAGTCGGTAAATGTTAGCTATTTTAACTCTATATGCTAGTTTAGTCTCCTTCGGTATCTCAAATATTTTTATGTAGATGCTCAGGTTCTTTTAAATTTTTACTCCCTCCTGCTCTGTGTGTGTACACACACACACACACACATATTTATACACACATTTATGCATTACTATATATGACATACTATATAAAATATCAATGAATAATCTAGTGCTCTTTAGTATCCTGTTTTATTTAAAATATATTTTTAAATCTCAGGTCATACTAATGTCCTTTGCAGGATCTCCCTCTATTATTATTATTGATAGGATATAATCCATATTATTTGATATGAATATTCAATGCTTTCTCACTTTAAAAAGTCTCATTATAACGTACTGTTTAAGAGCACACTGGTACCAGACTCCTTGCGTTTGAATTATATCTCTCCAAATTAACCACACCAAACCTGTTTACTGACCTATAAAATAATTAGAAAATAGTTCATATCTCATAGAATCATAAAGGCTGAATAATATCTGACGTACCAATGCAAAAAACATGGTAGAATAGGCAATTAATGTAACTATCATTATTATTAGACATTAGTCCAATTATTTCATAATTGTGCTGTGAATAATAACTGTGAGATTCTTTTCTCTGCTTGGTCTATTCTATTAATACTTGTGATTTCATTATGAAATTCTTGTAGTGCAATTTCCAGATCAATCAGCCTGGTTATGATTTTTGCTGTACTGGCTATTTTGTCTGTCAGCTCGTGCATTGTTTTATCATGATTTTTAGCTTCATTGCATTGGGTTTCATTATACTCCTGTAATTTAATGAACTTTGTTTCTATTCATATTCTGCATTCTATTTCTGTCATTTTAACCATCTCGGCCTTAGTCCGGTTCCAAACCCTTGCTGGAGAGGTGATGCAATTACTTGAGGGAAGAAGGCACTCTAGCTTTTCGAGTTTTCAGTTTTCTTGCACAGATTCTTTCTCAACTTTGTGGGCTTATCTACCTTCAATCTTTGATGTTGCTGATTTTTGGATTTTTTTTCCCTCATATCCTATTTGATGATCACAAGGGTTTTATTGTATGGTAAGGAGGATTCAGTTGACTGGCTTCATTTCTGGGAAATTTTAGAGGGCAATACTCAGCTCCCAACTCCTGGACTTCATTATCTAAATCTGGGGGACTTGTATTGGGCCCTGACTTTGTTGTCTGGCTCCTTGAGGTTTGGAGTCCCCTGCACTGTGGGGCTGAGATGTGGTAGCTGCAGCAGAGTGCCACGAATGCAGGGGTGTCTGCTTTCTGTGGGTGTTCACCACAGTGGTGAAGGCAAAACAGTTGGGGAGGGGGGAAGTAGTGGTCCCTGCTGGAGACTGTGTGAACCACTGCATTGGAGGTGATGTTGGCTTGGGGCAGCATTCTGGGTGGCACAGGTCTGGGTGCCTTCCCTGCTCCCCGCAAGCAGGAGTGATTTCTCAGGGTATGGAAGGGTCTGCTATTCTCCACACAGTGTTTGTACAAGGGCAGGGTTCTGGCAGAGGTGGGAATTTCTGGCTCTGTGCCTGCCAAATCTCCATCTGCAATGGCAGTCAGTAGGGGAAGGTGATGGGGGTGAAGGAGGGTGGACTATACTCCCACACGCTCATGAAGTAAGTAAAACAAAACCCAGCCATGGAGACACATGCCAGCAAAGTGATGTGGGGAGTTGCTGTGGGCTTAGAGGAAGCTTCAGTATGGGGAGGGAATGTGCAGGCTGGTGTGCAGTTGTAGTAGTCACCTTGCGGGAGTTCTCCATCGGTCAGACATACTCTTCCAGGGCAGAAGCTATGGTGTAGGCCCCTAGGATACCCAAGACTGCCTTGTAGGCAGATATGGCCAGGTTGGGGCCCTGAGAGAGGGCAGCAGACCAAGAGGTGCTCAGGTCAGACCAGCCCCCCTTGAAGTGCAAGGCCATCCTGCAGCGATCAGATCTGATAGTTCCCCTAGGGCTAATGTCTCTTACAGGAGTAAGTTGAGCATAGAGGGATGGCCACACCTGGCTGTGCTCCTCTACAGATGCCTTTGTACCAAACCCTCTGGGCTCCGCATCAGCTGGCTCACCACCCCACCACTTCTCTTAGCAGCTCTTCCCGCCACTTCAACTGTCTCTTTGGTCATAGAGTCTCCTCCTGCTGGGGTTCCAGAGACTCTTGGAGAGAGCGTGTTTCTCCTTGCCTGTTCAACTCACCCGTTTTCCCTGTTTTGGTTTAAAAATGAGTCCCAGTGCATGGTAGCCCATGTGGGGTTTCCAGATTTCTCCCCCTTTAGCCTAGCTTCTGTGTCTTCTCTCAATCTGTTCTCTGTGCCTTCCCTCTGAAGATGTTTTAGAAAGCATGCCGGTTGTCTCAGTCTTTCCATGGAAGCTAGTCCACTTGTCTGCATCTAGTCAGCCATCTTGGCCTTCTCAGTTTCCTGTTCTACCAGTCTGGGCACATCCTCCTGCCAGTGATCCAGGGTGGATAAAGTCCAGTGAATTTTTTTTTAATAATCCTGATGTATTTCAGGAATTTCAAAAGACTCTAACATCAACACAATCAGTAGAGTGGTTATGTATTTATTTTTCTTGCCATACCTAGCAATTTGGGCTGGAGAGGGGATGCCCACATGAACTCATGATATTATTATTATGGTTTAATCTCCATTCTTTGCTTCATTTTTGCTTGTTATTTATAGCTTTTTTGTATTTATTTAGTTTTTAGATAATAGTGGAGGGTGAACACCTAATTTGATTGTATTATACATTTTTCTATACTATAATTTTAATCACTCCCTTAATTATGTGACTTAAAACTTTTATATATTAAATAAGACACAGAAATGTTTTCAAGGTTAATATATTCTAAGCTTTAATCTTTGCCTTGAATCTCCCATTAGCGCCATATTGTTTGAATTATTTCAACACCAAATGTCCGATAATACAAGCCTTTATGTACCAAAATTTTTGTCAAATTCTGGTAAATAATTTGTTCTTTTTACTCTTTTATAATAAACATAGCAGTGGATAATTTTCAAAATTATAACCTTAAAATGGATACTTTTCAAAATTATAAACATACAATCTAATTCAAATATAAACATGTCTGAAATCTTAAAAATGCATTTCTGAGAACATCATCAATATGGTGAAGTTGATACAAAGAATATTTTTAAATAGACTGTTTTTCATACAGCTTTAGGTTTACAGAAAGTGAGAGCAAAAGTAGATACTATACCCCCTCACCTTTCTCCCAATTTTCACTATTATTAACATCGCTCATTACTGTGGCGTATTTATTATGATTATTGAGCCAATACTGACACATTTACATTATAGTTTACTCTTTGTGTTGAAAATTTTATTTTGACAAATGTGTGATGAAATGTATTCATATTACATTATACAGAAGGGCTTTATTGCTGTAAAATTCCTTGTGTACCACCTATTCCTCCCTTTCCCCACCCCAGGCTCATGGCAACCACTAATTTTTTATTGCCTCCATAGTTTTGCCTTTTTCAGAATGTCATATCATTGGAATCATGCAGTATGTAGACGATTTAGCATATTTCCCTAATCACTATGCATTTGAGATTTCACTGTATCTTTTAGTGGCTTGATAGCTCATTTCATTTTTAGCTCTGAATAATATTCCATTGTATGGATGTATCCTTTTTGTTTATGCATTCATCTATTGAAGGATATCTCGGTTGTTCCCAGGTTTTGACAGTTATGAATACAGCCAAAGTGAACAATCACATGCAACATATTTTCCTGCAGACATACGTTTTCAACTCATTTAGGCAAATACCAAAAAGTGTGATGGCTGGATAACATAGTAAGACTATATTTAGCTGTGTAAGATGCTACCAAACTGTTTTCAATAGTGGATGTACCATTTTGCATACTGACCAGCAAAGAATAACAGCTCCTGTTGCTTCATGTCCTCTCCAGCCTTTGGCATTGTCAGTGCTTTGGATTTAAGCCATTCCAATAAGTCCATATTGACATCTCATTATTCTTTCAATTTGCTATTTCCTAATGACATATGATGTGGAACATCTTTTCATATGCTTATTTGCCATCTGTATATCTTATTTGATGAGGTTTTTGTTTAGATATATACTCATTTTTTATTGAGTCTTTATTTTCTTATTATTTAGCTTTAAGAGTTCTTTCTATAGTTTGGATCTGTTTCTTTTTTTCAATAGGTGTTTTATAATTTTTCCCCAGTAGGTAGATTATATTTTCATTTTCTTAACAGTATATTTCACAAAGCAGAAGTTATTAATTCTAATTAAGTCCAATTTATCATCTTTTATGAATTGTACTTTTTGTGTTAATCTAAGAAGCCATTGTCAAACCCCAAAATTAGTTTTATTGTAATCCTGGAATTTTATTCCTGTTTAGTTTTGAAATTCCTATAATCAATTCTTAAAATAATCATTTTCTGCATGGGTATGGTCAACTTATCTTTAACAAAGGAACAAAGAAAATTCAATGGAGAAAATATCATTTTTAAATAAATGATGCTGGAAAAACTGGACATCCACATGTAAAAAAATAGAATCAAGAAACAGATTTCATACCTTTCATAAATTAACTCAAAATGGATCATAGACCTACTTAAATGCAAAACACAATACTCTAAAACTCCTAAAAGATAACATAGCAAAAAATTTTAGTGGGCCACAAAATTTGTGACTAGAAGTAATTTATCACTTCCAAGAATAGGCATAGGAGAGCCTCTGTGGGACTTTCTGCCTGCATCATGCCATGCTGCGAAAAGTGAGAAGACCTTGTTTAGAGGTAGAGGAATAATGTTGAGGTCTGAGCAGCCTAGATGACTCATTTGCGAAATGGAGGGTTGAAAGTATAGTCTAAACAAACAACTGAGCCTACAACAGGTATAAGAGCAACAAGAAATTAATTTTTGCATACGTGAGATGTCAGTGCCATTTTCTTTATACAGCACAACAAAACCTAAGCTATTCTGACCAATACGGTGTGTGTATATATTAATACAACTGATACATATTTAGCTGAATGGGTACATAAAAATGAAAATGTGTTTATTGTTATAGGAACAATTCTACAGGCATGAAAACAATTTTATTACCAAACGCAAGTGAATTTATTGAATTATGTCAACCTTCCAAAGAATTATGCAAGATATTAGTCTAATCGTATACATGTGCTTCACATGTCTGTGACCCATGCACTTAGTAGTCACTAACTATTTAAAGTAAAAACTCAAATTGAATCTGCTAATAATAAAGGCTATCCTTGAGTTACTCTAAACTTTCCAGGCAGAAGAAAACACCTATAAACAGTCATGTGGATAAGAAGCCAACATCATTGACACATCCACAGCCACTAAGATAATCCTCAATTTCAATTTGTGTGGTTTATTTTCCTAGGTTCAATGTTTGGTCTTTATTTTTGTCTTTTCCAGTTTAATATAGGCCCTCGTATATGTTTTTCTGTGTCATATTGTGTATTTTAGGGCACTGGGAACTTACAAACTTTGTTTTTCACATATCTTGCTGACTAGATTTCTCAGCAGAAACAATAGTGGTTGGTAGCAGTGAGAAATTACTGAACTTGAGCACTTTTTTGATAGTTTCAATGTTTATCAAAAGGATGCCTCATTAGTGGATCCAGAACTACTACTATAGCCTCTTCTAGTGTGCAGTAGCTGATGCAGGCTGGTGGACTCCAGCCCAGAGGCATTAGCAACTTTAATTCCTTGGCATTATGTCTTCTTTCTTTTTGTTCCTTCACTCCCTTCAGCCATTTGTCATTTTTATCTTTTATTCCTCTGCTGCCTCTGTAAGCTTTCAGCCTATTTGAACAACCTGGATTGATTTCTGATTCTCTGACTGGACTAGGGAAGATACAATGATAATGTACTTGACATATTAAAGGAAGAGAACAGTAAGGGAATTAAAAATTTGTCCAAAGTGTATTTTGCCATATAGCTGAGCAAATGTAATACAATGCATAGCAACAGGACATATTTTTCTATTTTACGTGCAGAGATTCCCTTAATAATCTGAACTCTATATTATAAGTATTAAAAATTTGAGCTAAGACATTACACAGATCTCTAGGTAACCTGAAATAGCTGTCTAAAATTTCATGCCCTAAAATGCACTTTACTCAGTTGGATCCATCTCAGCATTTTGTTTTACACACAATTCTAGTAAGATATTTTATATCTTTGTTCAGCTTAAACTACTTTGGAACAATAATTTTATATGAGAGTGTTAGAGTGACTGTTAAAACGTAGTTACCAAAACCAAGACCAACAATTTACAGATTAACCATAGAGGAAAAGAAACAATAAAAAATCAAGGGGCTCATAAAATATAATCATATAAAATAAAATATATAGTAAAATAAAATATATAGGGAGACATATTTATGGCTTTCAACATGTTCACAAATGTCTAAAAATAATTTCCCCATGACATGGAATCATTAACAAAGAATATTTTATTTTAAATTTTAAAATATTAGGGATACAGAGTTGTTATTTAAAATTATGTAAATAGAACATGTTTTAATTAAGAGGAAAAAATACATAAAGAGCTCTAATACCTAAATGATACTGCCTACCTGCACACTTTTGTAATATCCAGGAGCAGTTTCGATTTATGTTGATTATCCAGCAAAATTTTAAATAGAACCTTCTTTCATGCTTAAAGTTGTTCTGGTTTGGGCAATAAATTACATGGTTATCTTATCTATTGGTCATATATTTGTCACAAAATTATTGTAAATCCTGAATCTTGCTAATGTTCCGCAGCTAACATAATTTCTGGCACGTAGTGGTAGTGGCAGAGATTGTTAGCTGTCCTCAGTATCTATACTCCAAATTTTCTAAATTATACATGCCAATCCAAAATACACATGACTCAAGGAGCGAGCGTAAATTCAGGTCAGATGGGATATAGGAAGAAATGTCATCTGGCAATTTGTAGAAACCTTCCTTAAGCGAGAGCTGGCACACACATTTTGGCCTTATTGTTTTTGGTTCCCTCCTTCATGTCACTTCTTGGGATATGTGTATTCCATTTTGAAACATGACACTGGGGGCAAATCCATTGGATAGCAGAGTTCTAAACAGGAAGTCTTTGATTCCTAAGGGAGTTCATACAACAGAGTCAGTAAATTGCTTTGGACCCTTTACCTTGGAAGTGTGTTTATGCAAGAGAGAAATAAACATATGTTTTGTCTAAGACACTTATTTACAGTCAAATATAGTTTTACTGAGATAGTAGATATTTAATAAATGTTGAAAGGATAAATCAATTATTGAGTCAAGATGAAGCTAATATTTGATCAAACCTGGAGGCAAAGTATTCCCTCATATTCTTTCTGCTGTAAGAAGCAGAAAATCTAACTCCAATTACTTTGAACAATATTAATATGTATTTAATCACATTAAAAGAAGTCTACAGCTTAGCATGAGATCCAGGACCTGATGATTTAGGGGCACAGTAGCATCATGATTAATACATATTTTTTCCATGGTTCCACTTGGTCTTCCTTTGGCGGGCACGGAGGATCTAGAATGATTGCAGAGGGGAACAATAGCAATTTTATTCAGCAGGGAAGAGATGACCACTGCCTAGATTTTTAAAGTGAAAAAATTTTCCAGGAAGTCAGTGGTAAACTTTTGGCTTGAATTGTACTTATTTCTTTCACTGTAAAATTACTATATGCTGATCGATATAGACTGGGTTTCCTATAGCAATAAATGGCAAGGGGGCTAAGATAATCATTAAGTCATAGACTATTCTGAGCCCACCCAACTGTACATTAAAGGGTAGTGTAGCTGGGTAGTTGGGGGAAGAATGTGTGTCTGTGGAGTTCAATGGCAATACCTTCTATTTTCTACCACTTCAGCCATCCAATAACAGTATTTTTTCTTTTTGTATACACTTTCAAACATGGTAACTCCAATCTTTTCAGAAGACAACTGAATCACATACAATTTTTGTACCTAGCTTCATGACCAGTATCTCAATGCAATATGCATTACTCTTCATCAGATACAGATATTTTTCTTTATAGCCTGGAGATGATAAACAGATAGATAGATAGATAGATAGATAGATAGATAGATAGATAGATGAATGATGAAATATCCAGCCCCAATGCATATAGAAAAATAACAGGAAAACTATAATGATTTTTTTAACTTTTATTTTAAGTTTTGGGGTACATTTGCAAAATGTGCACATTTGTTGCACAGGTAAGTGTGTGTCATGGGAGTTTCTTATGCAGATGTTTTTATTACCCAAGTATTAAGCCTAGTATCCATTAGTTATTTTTCCTGATCCTCTCCCTCCTTCCACCCTCTGTCCTCTGGTAGGCCCCAGTGTGCATTGTTTCCCTCTATATGTCAATGTGTTCTCATTATTTAGCTCCCACTTATAGATGAGAACATGTGGTATTTGGTTTTCTGTTCGTGCATTAGTTTGCTAAGGATAATAGCTCCCAGCTTCATCCATGTCCTTGCAAAGGACATGATCTCATTTGTTTTATAACTGCATAGTATACCATGGTAAATATATACCACATTTTCTTTATCCAGTCTATCATTGCTGGGCATTTTGGTTGATTCCGTGTCCTTGCTATTGTGAATAGTGCTGCAGTGAACATACACGTGTATGTATATTTATAATAGAATGATTTATAATGTTATACCGAGTGGTATGGTTTGGCTGCTTCCCCACACAAATCTCATCTTGAATTGTATTAATCCCCACATGTCAAAGGTGGGGCCAGGTGGAGATGGTGTGGTTTCCCCCATACTGTTCTCATGGTAGTGAATAAGTGTCAAGAGATCTAATGGTTTTATATATGGGTGTTCCCCTGCTGAAGCTCTTCTTGCCTGCCACCATTTAAGACGTGAGTGTGCTCTTCCTTTGCCTTCTGCCTTGATTGTGAGGCCTCCCCAGCTATGTGGAACTATAAGTCCATTAAACCTCTTTTCCTTTACAATTTACCCAGTCTCGATTATGTCTTTATCAGTGTGAAAATGGACTAATACACCCAGTAATGGGATTGCTGCATCAAATCAGATTTCTGTTTTTAGGTCTCTGAAGAATCACACACTGTCTTCCCTCATGGTGGCTGAACTAATGTACACTCCCACCAACAATGTAAAAGTGTTCTTTTTTCTCCACAACCTCACCAGCAACTGTTATTTTTTGACTTTTTAATTGTAGCCATTCTGAGTGGTGTGAGATGGTATCTCATTGTAGTTTTGATATTTATTTCACTAATGATCAGTGATGTTGAGCTTTTTATCATATGATTTTTGGATGCATGTGTGTCTTCTTTTGAGAAGTGTCTCTTCATGTCCTTTGCCTACTTTTTAATGGCGTTGTTTGTTTTTCCTGTAAATTTGCATCAGTTTCTTATGGACCTTTGTCAGATGCATAGTTTGCAAAAATTTTCTCTCATTCTGTAGGTTGTCTGTTTCCTCTGTTGATAGTTTCTTTTGCTGTGTAGCTCTTTAGTGTAATTAGATTCCATATAATAAATATTTTTATTTGTAAAGTTTTAAATAGGAAAAGTTATTCACTTTCTTTTGTTGTTATTGTTTGATAGGTTGGTTCTTTTGAGACAGGATCTCACTCTGCTGCCCAGGCTGGAGTGCAGTAGCCAGATCATAGCCCACTGCAGCCTCGACATCCTGGGCTCAGGTGATTCTCCCACCTCAGCCTCTGGTGTAGTTGAGATTACAGGCATGTGCTCCCACACCCATCTATTTTTTTTTGTTGTTTAATTTTTTGTAGAGACCAGGTTTCACCATGTTGCCCAGGCTGGTCTTGAATTCCTGAGCTCAACTGATCCACCCACCTTGGCCTCCAAAAGCACTGGGATTACTGGACTGAGCCACTGCATCTGGCCACTTTCATTTGTTCACATATCACATCATGTTGGAGATGAAAAGTAAAGACTTTCATACGGTTGTAGAATTCTGTTTAGGAAGATCCTCCCTTTAAATTGGTCCTCATGGGTACATATGAAACTGATCATATTATAGTGTTACACTAAATTTTAAGCTTTAAGCTTTTGTCTACAGAATAACTAAAAATAAGATTCATGAAAAAATGGTAAAACACTATATGACTGAATTATTTCAGCATTATTAATTATGTAAAAAGTACTTATGAGGAACACTAAAATAATTAAAATAATTGTCTAAAACAGTCCTAAGAACATTATTTCATCTAGGAAAATCATTTATTGCTATTACAAGTTAGAAAATGATCTCATTTTTATTATATAAATTACAGAGTGATTATATTTAATGAAAGTGAATAAAGAGAAACATATGCATTTGAGATAGCTTGCTTATATATTTTTCCTTAAAATTTGCTTTTGTGTGTAACCTTTGGCTCATTGTCCAAATTATTAGAAATGCAATTTCAGCAGGTCATTACCATCTATTTAACTTATTGTAGAAAAAAGAGTTTCAAGAAAGTGAAAGGAGATTTTTAAAAAATGACTTTTGATAAATTCAGCTTCAAGTCTACATTTCTCTAAATATTCCTTGAGCTACAATGATCACTAGTACAGAGATTTTGAATCATTTGATCTGAAAAGTTATACCTGGCAGGTCTGTCTTATTTTTGCTCTTTTATTTCTTACTTTTGAGTATTTGGCAGGACTAATCATGTTGATTGATATGTGGTAAAAGAGACTGCTGTGAAAACTGCTTCAGAGCAATATGTTGCTGATGAAAATGGTGCAATTTAAGAATTTTAAATAAAGATGGAAATGGAATAACTTTAGTATTAGGAGATGCATGGGTTTCAGGAAGAACTGGAATAAGACCTCTATTTGTACTGATATCAGTTAGTAGTTAAGCTAAATTGCAAATGCCATTAACATTTTCTGTGAAAAGATAAATGAGGCTTAAAAATGCCAAAAAAGGTTTTCTTTATACTTTATTGTTATATTATAAATCAAAGTGGTTATCAATGGTTACAAGGTAATTCTGCATTTTCCTTACTTTAATATATATACTTTCACTCTTCTGCTCCATTTCTCCAGTTAAATATAATATGGTAAGAACAGACAAAAAGGACGTACATTTTTCAATCTCACATTTTATTGCTTTTAAGATTGTTTCTATCTAATATAATAGTGAAAGGTGTCTGTACAATGCAAGAGGGTTTACAGCAAGGGGAAAAGAAGGTGTTGATGTAATCATGGGAAATTCACAGACTTAGCAGAGAACACCCTCTAAGCTCCATAGGGAACACACCCAAAATTCCATGAGGAGAGGAGCTTATGTGTTCTGTCTATTTCTGGATCAGCAGTTCCTAGGACTGTGTCTGGAACAAAATAGATGCTAAATACATATATTGAATAAATGAGTGAAAAAAAAATTCACAAGACCTTGTCTTCTCCAAAGAAGGAGACAAATGTCAGTAGACAAATGTCAAATTGGTTCTTGAGGATAATTTGGTTTTAGTCTTACTTAAAGCTGAGACTGTACTCAGTGATATCATTAATAATAAGAAGAAATATAGGGCTGGTTGCAGTGGCTCACACCTGTAATCCCAGCACTTTGGGAGGCCGAGGCGGGCGGATCACCTGAGGTCGGGAGTTGGAGACCAGCCTGACCAACATGGAGAAACCCTGTCTCTACTAAAAATACAAAGTAGCCAGGCGTGGTGGTGGGTGCCTGTAATCCCAGAGAGTCGAAAGGCTGAGGCAGGAGAATCGCCTGAACCCAGGAGGCAGAGGCTGCGGTGAGCCGAGATCGCGCACCATTGCACTTCAGCCTGGGCAACAAAAGCGAAACTCCATCTCACATTAAAAAACAAAACAAAACAAAACCAAAAAAAAGAGACTTTTTTTGTTATGTTGATAAATTAATTCTTTTTTCCAAAAGAAAAGCTTATGTCATTTATAAATGTCTTTAATTTATATTTTATATGTATATATGGAATAAATAATGAAGTAAATGCCTCTTATGATAAAATATCTGTCAATAGAGAGATAATTCAAATAAGAAAAATTCTCTCATCTATAAAATTGACACACTATTGTCAAAAAGTAACATAAAAATAAAACTACACATTGAAATTTAATACTTTTCTGCCTAAAAGTTTCTTTTTCATGATGTTTTGTGTTCTAATTTACATCTCTAATGAGATATAGTCCTGCATCATTAAAAAGCAGCAGCACACTCAAAACAGCAGTGGAAATAAAGCAAAACAAACAAAAAACACTATTGCAGAAAATTTGGAAAATTATAGCAAAGTTAAATAAGTATTGCTAAAAGTAGGAAAGAGAAAGGAAAATAAAAAAGAGTTCCCTTTTGGGGAAATGTATTACCATAATTTTTTAAAGGATTTTAAAAGTTCTCTTAAAAATGATTTATTTTTGCTTTTATAATATTCAGTCCTTAAAATTTACCTCAATTATGTAGGACTTTAGTGGGGAAACAAATATCCAACACATTTTTGGACACAAATCACAAACAGAATTGAACACAAATGAAAGGCTATTAAAAGGAACAAATCAGCCTGAGCAAAAGGAGAATCCTCTGATCCTCTGTACCATCCAAACAACTGCACGTGTTCTTGGTAACCCTTGAAGGCATGCACAAAGTGTTTCTTCCAATCACATTACTAACATATTGGTTATTTGGAAACGACTTTCTTCCACATACATGTATTTGGGGAGGGCAAGAGTTATTCAGAAATGAATATATTTAATATCCATGCCTGTAATAACTGTAAGGATGAATAGTAGTAGTAGTTATCCAGAGAAATGGCATCAGAAAAAAATATTATGTTATGAGGGAAATCAAATGGTTTACTACATGACACAACTGGACTTTGCTGTCTCAATATTTGCCAGTAAAATAATGGGATTCATCATGCAGACAACCCTAACAGCAAGATGCCAATAGATCTAACTACTTTCGGTGCTACTCGAAATTGCAGAAGAATGATGAGTTAAAAGTCACAACAGCTAAAAAGGGAAACCACTTAGAAAGCAAAAATGGTGGAATTTATTAGAGATGAATGTCAGCAGAACGTACAACACAACTAAGAAATATCTGCCAGAATAACGCAATATTCCCAGGATTTTAGCAGATATTGTCTTTCTCTCACAATAATAATAATAATATCTAAATAACCAAAAATATACTAATACTAATGAATACCTAAATCTTTTTGTTTTTATTTGGTAGTGTTTTGTTATGTGTGATTGCTTTAAGACCACATATTCTCTGAGAGGCATTAAGATCGATCTATCTATCTCTTGTTCTATTGATCTAACAATTGAGTGATTATTTGTTTAATAAGATACATAAAGATATTTATATTTGTATCTATATCTATATAAAATGAAGAATGATAAACATCATAAATAACATAATTTGTTAATTTTAAGTCTCAGATAAACTTTGTAAGAAAATTCAAAACTATATGAAGATGCTAATCATATAATAATGTTCTTATTCATCATTGACTTCAATATAATTTTTAAATTATTTTGCTAGGTAAAAATATATGTTTAGATTTATTTTTTCTAAAATCTAAAATATATTTAATTTCCATAAAAATTACAAATTGATAAGTTGATTTAACTTTTATATACCAAGTCATTTTCATTTAAAAATCTTATTTCTTGAAAGAGATTCAAAATAATAAATTAATAACATAGGAGCCAGGATCATAGCAAATACTTTAAGGAAAATATTGGTAAAGTACTAAAGCTTTAGAAAAAAATCAAATGATCTCTTCACCCATATATACTTTATTTGCCATAAAATTACAAATATGATTGTATTAAAAGTCCTCCTTTATAAAACATGCACAGAATATGATCACCAAATGGCCTTGCATATATTTTACAATATGCAATCACTCTACTGCCATAAAGTTCTTATTGCTGACTAAATTTCTGGCTACAAACATCAACTACAGCCAGTCTCTTCGCCTCTCTTTAAAACAAATGTTACCTCTTAAATGTAAGCTTTGTTTCAAGTATAAATGTGAGTAGATAAATTAATCATGTGCTATAACATAAAAAGAGGAGGACAATAGGTCTCAAGAGGGAGGTAAATGCAAATGAAATAAAACATGTAATAGTCAACTCCAGGGCAATATCATGATTTTTATTGGAGCAGATGAGAAAGAAGGGTGTGCAGCCTCAAAATCATTAGTGCAATCAACTGTCCCCATTCCCAAACTAAATATTCATCAACAATCTGAATATGAGAATATAATTCTACAGTTCAAAAAACTTTAATATTGCAGACTTATCTGTGCTGCTGCTCTATGTGCTGCATACCAAATGTAACTACTTAATTATTTAGCCCTATATAAATTTGTGAGTTAGTGTGTGTGTATATATGTGTGAAATTATATCTTGCAAACACCTGCTGCTACTCATGCATTATGTAAACATAAATAGTGCCAAATGAGAAGGAAAGTGTATGGGATTCAACATATATTTTCCAGTCTACTTCATCTTGCTATTTTGGTGGTGTTGCAACTGAGTCTAAAAATTAGATAATATAAGATTTACCATTTTATTGTCTAAAGCAAATAGGTCAACAGAATAATTAAGATGGCAGGAAAATTTCCAGAAAGACAGCAATGAAATTAAAGGTACTTCCACCTATGTCTAGCATGTTAAGATTGTTCTAGATTGTATCAATTAATAAAGAGATTTTTTTTAACTTTCTAACGATATCTGAGAACTATTTGGAACATTTAGCATTTTAAACCTTGAGTTTTGAGTATTATAGGTAATTTAGTGAGCAAGCAGGATCAACTTTGCCATTGGTTCTTTCCCCCTACTACCGCAGAAAATTAACTTGGGGATGGTATTTTTAACATTATTGGGTGTTCTATGAAATATGTGTCCTACAGCCTAGACATCTGAGTCCAAATTGCCACACAAAACACGGGGGAAAAAAAAACACCACAACTCATAGCTCTTTATATATAATTCTCAACTAAAAGAGAGATTGGACTTCATCAGGCATGTCAATAAATTAATTGTTTTACTGATGGGATAAAAATCAATAACAAGGACTTTGAGAATTTGGACACCAGAGACTTCATTACCTAACTCTAGACAAAATAACTCAACATGCATTTTTCCTGGAAGGATATCTCTCAAGTTCCTAGTAGGCAGTTCTTACCATTGAATCATTTCTGTAAGGGAAAGACTTTGTGGAATTTCTTCTCTTCATGTGTAGTATTGTGAAAGGTAGAGGATGGACCCTGGCACCAACAGGGCTTTCTCTAAAGCTCATTTCCAATATGCATTAATTGAGTAATCATGGAAGATTAGTTTAAATCTCTTGGAAATTTAGTTTCTTCTTGGTGGCTGGCATTGATAAAGATTGTTCTATAGTTACATAAGACAATGGGTAAAAATTGCACATGTAGTATAGCATACATACTAGATAATACAAAAATATCATGCCCTTCCCTCTTTTATTATTACACAGTTAATTGCTCATAATAAAATATATTTTAAGTCATGACCAAAAATTTTTAGAAAATGACTTCTGCAAAAATAAATTAGATGCTAGCTACTATATTCTGCCCTTCAATTTAGTGATCCTTCCTTAACAATATTTTTGGTGGTATATTATTTTAAATTTAATATTTATTTTCTCAACAAATCAGATTGTAAGACTGACAATAATAAAAAAATTAACAGTTTAAAATATCCTGTATAGGAAGGCCGAGGTGGGTGGATCATGAGGTCAGGAGATTGAGACCATCCTTGCTAACACGGTGAAACCCGTCTCTACTAAAAATACAAAAACAAAATTAGCAGGGCGTGGTGGCGGGCGCCTGTAGTCCCAGCTACTGGGGAGGCTGAGGCAGGAGAATGGTGTGAACCCAGGAGGCAGAGCTTGCAGTGAGCCGAAATCGAGCCACTGCACTCCAGCCTGGGCAACAGAGCGAGACTCCATCTAAAAAAAAAAAAAAATCCTGTATAAAAAAATTTAACATTTATTGAGCATTGCTGTGTGCTATATATTTTATATATGTTCTTTTAAAAGCAGATATTGTTTTTCTTATTTTGCACATGGTCACTAAGGCTTTCGAATTTAAAATAGCTTGCTTAAGTTTTTCAAACTTTAATTAAGGCTCAGGTCTCTGGGGCTCCAAAGACCATGCACCATGCAATACAAAATTCCTGTGTTTGTGCAGGTGATCATGAACTTTGTCCATTTATATCCTTATAATATCTTCTTTATTTGGTTCTGATTAAAAAAAATCTGTTAGATTCTGTGTCTAAACACAATGGAAACAATGCCAAAATATATTGGTACTAATCAGCTGTGTCAAGAAAAGTACACATTGGTATTAATGAACTGTGTCAAGAAAAGTACTTTCATTTTTGTCAAAATTACCATCTATAAGCGACTTGAGTAAGTAGAAACAATTGTAAATTGAAAACAATGGTAGATCAAGATTAGTTTAGAATCACAATGGCAAGAAATAATGTTTTGCATGTGGACTGAAAGGATAGAAAATGGAAAAATGGGGAAAAAATGTAAGGGTGTTCCTCCTAGATCAGGTGCAAAGTTAAGTTGTAATTATAGATCGTGTTATAACTTGTAAAAAAGGAGACACATACATGACCCTGTCTTAGATTCAGACAGTAATTAGGGTCATTTGCATTACAATGTAGTCATAGCCCTCAAATTCTTCAGGACAAACTTCTCCATCTTCCTCTCATTCCTCTTTCCCCGGTGCTATCTAATTAATTTTCTTCCTATTCAAGCTCTCTGATATTTCTTTTACTTGTCCATTCCACTAAACCTCTCAACTTCTATTATTTCTTTTTACAAATGCTCTATTTCATCTCTCCTTCAGAATAATTTTTTTTCTTTTTTCTTTTTTTTTTTTTTTTTGACAGGGTCTTGTTCTGTCATGTTCTGTCATCCAGGCTGGAGGGCAATGGTATGATCCTAAGTCCCTGGAGCCTAAAACTCCTGGGCTCAAGAGATCCTCCCATCTCTGCCTCCCAAGTAGCTGGGACTAGAGGCATGTGGCACCACACCCAACTAATTTATTTTTTATTTTTCATTTTTTTGTAGAATTCGGGGTCTTGCCATGCTGCCCAGCCTGGTCTGGAATTTCTGGCCTCACATCATCCATCCACCTAGGCTTCCCAGTGCTGGGATTACAGACATGAGCCCCTGTGCCCAGCCAGAATACATTTTAAAATTCCTTTTTCTCTACTCATTTTTTATTCTTACCTTTTTTCTCACTTCTTTCATCCTTACAAACACCCTTCTCCAATCTCCACCCACAGTAGTCCAGTTTTCTTCTGCTTCTAGTAGAACTTTAATTATATCCACTCTCTTCCCTGCATCTTCAGCCTTTTTTCCTCTATTGACTCTTGCCTATTTGCCTCTATGCTGTATTCTTGTCTTTCAATCTAAAAATGTTAAACTCTGTATTATTTTCCCTTCCCCAGTAAGGTTTATTTTACCTTTAGATATGTAAATTACCCTATGTTACTTTTTGTTTCAGCAAAATTTGTTGAAATTTTATTTAGACTTTTTGTCTTTATTTTTTCAACTTTCCATTTGTTCTCAATTCGTTCTCACTGATCAGTAGAATTGACAATTGCTAAAGTGACTGATGATTTCCATGTCACTGAAACCAATCATTACTTTTGAGAATTTTGGATCTCTCAAGGATAGATGATCCAGCTTATTCCCCCCTGTACCTTCCTGATGTACCCTTGGATACCAGGACATTATACTCTCTGGGCTTTCAACTCAGTTTTGGAGGTATTTATCCTCCATATCATTTGCTGAATCTCTTCCTCAAATAGTGTATGCCCTCATGTTCCTGGAAGGCTGGCATTTTCCTTTTCCTGTATGTTTACTAATGAGAGTTGATTCATTGCAGTCACTTCTATCATCATCAACTTGTAAATGCAAATTCCCAGCCTGAAACTCCTTGTTGCAAATCTAGAATAACTGCCCAACTGTGAAACTGACATCTGTATGTGTTACTTCTATGCAAGCATCTCAAATTCATTATGATTCTGACTGTACTGCTCATTCTACTTCACCCACACCTACTTCTCCACTGGAGTTTCCTATTGCCATTATTATAAACATCTATCTACCTCCTTTCTCAGGCCACATACCAGGGAGTCATTCTTAATTCCTCCCTCTTCCTAAAACATACACTTCTTCCTAACATGTGCACCTAAACAATTACCAAATCTTTTCATTTAACAACTTAATATATCTTGAACTTTTCCACTGAGCTCCAACCATCCCTAATGCGTCTATCACAAGCAAAACTAAGAGAGTATCCTGCTAAATCCCTACTCTTGACATTCTTTAATTTATTCCACCCACTGCATTCAAAATTATTATTTCTTTAAAAAATGTACATAAAGTCATTAATATCCTTTAATATCTATTTATAGACCTTTGGTCGAGGCCTATATCTGGTCTTGAAGACATGTAAATAGCCTCTGCTTTCATTTTCAGCACATTTTTAACACTACTCCCTCTAAGCTCCTTACCCTGCTTTTCTTCTGTCTGTTCTGAGAATGAGCCATGTTCTCCATGTTTTTAAACATGCTATTCTGTCTGAATGAAATCTCTTCTTTATAACCACCCTAGCTGCCCAACTAATAGACTCACTTTATCTCTTATCAGAAATACGACTTGCTCTCAGAGGGCTCAATTCTCTCCCGTGTCTAGGATAGATTCATTGTTCATTTTTACTTCCACCTTCATGTTTATTATACTCAGAGTTGTTTGTTCATTGTCGGTCTTTCCCAAAAGGAGACAACATCTTTGTTATTCACCACTGAGTTCCTAGGACCTAGCATAATGCCTGACATATAATTGATACCCTGTTTAATTAAATTGGTTTATTTTTCCTTCATGAAAATTTGATATACATTGATGTGGACAGTGAAATTAAATTAAACCAAAAAAGACTCAACCCTGTAACATATGCAGGGTAATATGTGAATAGAAGGAAAAAATCATGTATTACTCAGGCTGTCAACTTACATTTTAACCTAGTTCATGTGTTTCTACTTCTACATAATTAAAGCAAATAGATTTATTATTTTTTTAATAAAGGCAGACTGGTGGAAATTGAAGGAGGAGTTTGTATCACTAACTCTCATGTATAGACCTACATGTTGATAAACAATTAGGAAACCCAATAAGCACTGAATAATCTCATATGTTTAAAGGAAAATTTAGATCCAGATAGTTCACACAGAGAGAAAGGTTAAAAGGTTGGTCACATGCACATTTTAAGATAAATATTTGTTATGACAAATGGCAAGATAATGAGACACAGTCTGCTAAAAACAAAATAAAATGATCCCTCTTTATTACAGGCTCTCTACTGCACCAGTACATATAATTAAGACAGAAGTTTCTGTCTATTAAATTGTCCGTGGATTTGCTTGATTATATTCTGCTTTTAAGCAATCTGCAATCTATTCAGAATCATTTTAGAGATCTTGGATTTGATTGTTTTAATTATAACTCTGAGCTTCATGTAAAAAAACTTTGTTTCCTTTTCTGTAGTGGTGGGAAATCGAATGGCGTATGAAGACACACACACACACACCTACACACACAACAAAATTCATGAGTAGTCATGCTTGCTAAGCAAAAATTGTTCTTTCCTTTCATTCTTTCTTAAAATGCAAACATTGGAAGAGTAGATTTGAAGTCAAAAGTTCCGACTGCTTATTCTTAGCCATGGGATTTGAAGAAGGTAATTTCATCTTAAGCCGCAGTCTTTCTCTTTTTCCATAAAAAGTGTATGTAACATTTCATGTACATTTTCTTAGCAACTTTGAGGATAAAATTAAACAGTGATTGTAGAAAAGCTTTCATAATGTGAAAGGCATTACATAAATTTAAATTAATAATTTAACTTTCTCTTTTTTCTATATTAGCCTCCTCATGGCAGGTTTGTGGAAATTTATAAATAAGAGTCCTGTAGGACCTGCTTCTAGTTATTTATTTTTAGATCTAGACATAATTTTTTTAACCAGAATTCTTACAACACACTTAGCAATTTCTAATTAATTACTCACTTTTGTTTACTCCTGTGGTAAGTCTTAATGCCAATATTTACACCCCCCATATTGAGCCACTCCACTGTGTTCTAGTTTACACTTGGAGTTCTCAAATATTAGCATGGATCAGAATCATATGCAGAACTTGTTAAACAGGTTGCTTGATTCCAACTCCAGAGTTTCTGATTAAATGGACCTTCTATTCTGCATTTCTTACAAGTTTCAAGTTGTTATCTATGCTGTTGGTCCAGTAATATTATTTCAAAAAGCGCTATTCTAGCAGGGTTTCTTTCATATTTTAACACTTATATCAATTGAGTGGCTTTATCTCCATAGATTTATACCTAATTGACCTTATAGATATGCTTTAACATTGGTATCAAACAAACAAACAAACAAAAAAAACCAGAGTTGAGATTCACTGCTTTAGAAGTAGCGTTTCCCAATTCCATGCCAAAAGCATACTCAGCTGAATTAGAATGACAAGGCAATGGACTAGGATTATATACTGAGAGTCACCCATGGCTTCTGCATTCTGTCATTTAAATGAGTATGCAGCCCAGACAGTTGCAGCGTTCAACAGAAAAAGTCTGTTTGCGTAACTAACAGGTATTGTTTATCCAGTTCATCCCAAACTATGAGCTGATGCAGTCCAACGGACGGCTGCGGAGTACAGGGAGCAAAGGTGTAGATTTTCCTAGTTCCCTGAATTTTATTCACACATGGGGTTTTGCTTATGAAAAGTTTTCTCCATATTGTGGGTGTTTTGATGCAAAAACAGTAGCTCAGGCACCAACATTCCAGATCAATGCTGTCCACCTGGCAGTTGCATGACTCTGATTGCTATCTTAAAAAAAGACATACAGAACAGACTTAGGACTGATCTCACCGCTGTTAGAGATAACCAGTTCATGGGCACTATTAACAAACTTAGCATAAGAAATATTAAGCTTCCCAGGCTTTATATCTTGCTGACAGAGATAGCATTTTGAGACAAAGTACTTTAGTCAGAGATAAAGTAAGACATTGTTACCTTCCAGAAATTAAGAATTATACTTAGCTTGACTTTAATCCTCACCTTTGCTTGAAACTTTGGCCTGTTCTTTACCTTTCGTATACCTACTATGAACACACAGCTTTGATTACGTGTCTCCATCATCAAACAATGAACACTGTATTCAGATATGGGCTATTCTAGACTATTAGCATGTGAGAGCTAGTACTATTTCACAAATGCTGCTCAATAAAAAGTACATATTATGCTTTTAAAATATTAATTTAATAACATGACATTTCTGAGCAAATAATAATAGAGAAAAGTATATGTTGAAAGAAGAGTCACTAGTTTTATGATATTATATATGTTGTTATAAACTTTTTGTCAGGTATATGGTAGTTACTGCAATGATCTTTTTTTTTTGAGACGGAGTCTCGCTGTGTTGCCCAGGCTGGAGTGCAGTGGCGCTATCTCGGCTCACTGCAAGCTCCGCCTCGCGGGTTCACGCCATTCTCCTGCCTCAGCCTCCCGAGTAGCTTGGACTACAGGCGCCCGCCACCATGCCCGGCTAATTTTTTGTATTTTTAGTAGAGATGGGGTTTCATCGTGTTAGCCAGGATGGTCTAGATCTCCTGACCCCGTGATCCGACGGCCTCGGCCTCCCAGAGTGCTGGGATTACAGGCGTGAGCCACAGCACCCAGCCTGCAATGATCTCCTTTAGATGAATATCAAGTCTTGGTTAATTCCTTTATTATAAATAATATTATTGTTTTCCTGTACGTAAAACCATTTAGACGAAATAAAATTCGGTCTTATAATCATTGGGTAAATGGGAATGAGAATATTGGTGAAATGTTTTTTAAGTTTTAATGCAAATTTTAGGAAATTTAAAGATATAGAAAAGTATAAAGTAGAAAAGAAAAATCAGCCATTTTAATACAATACAGAGTTACTTTTAACAATTTATTGTATTTATTTCTTGATTTTATTGTATAATGTTACCAAATATTTTTAGTATTCCTTTATTTTATTTAAATATTTAATACCAAAATTCTTAGAAATCTTCATAAGCATAATTTAAATAATAATAATAATTGAAGCTAGGATTTATAATATGCTGATTGTATCTGCTATGTGGTAAAATCCATATATTTGATATCAGTCAATTGTTTTCATAACGTAGGATATATTTTTTATCTTTTATCTTTTAAGAGTTTCCAAAAGCCATTGTACTTTTCCTTTGGAAATTTTTTTAAGAACAGTCTACTTCCAATATATTTATTAAATATTTAAAAATAAAGCTTAACATATAAATGCACATGCCATTGATGATTTTCTCATCTGTTTAGCAACAATGCTCTTCAAAATATAAAATATTCTCAGCACCAGAAATGCATTCTTATGTCACATTCCAGACATCAGCCTTCCTGTTCTATAGGCTAGTTTAACATGTTTTTGAGCTTTATCTAAATGGACTCATATAACACGTTCTTTGTGGTGTGTGGCATTTTTTAGATTTAGTTCTATTTTGTCTGATATTTATGTATCATTTTGCATAAAATGATAGTTGGTTCATTTCCAGTAGTTTTTGCTATAATTATGGATATCTACACCAAGACTTCAATTTTGACTTGTTACTGTCATTCACCAATAACTCATAATATATGTATAGAAATACATGGCTAAGACTGGGAGGGGTGGCTCATGCCTGTCATCCTGGTGCTTTGGGAGGCCAAGGGGGGAAAATAGCTTGGAGGCCAAGAGTTCAAGGTCGGCCTGGTCAACATAGCAAGATACTGTCTCCACAAAAAAATTTAAAAATTTGCCAGGTATAGTGGTGCACACTTTTCATCCCAGTTACTCCAGAGACTGAGGCAGGAGTATCGTTTGAACATAGGAGTTCAAAGCTTCAGTGAGCTATGATTGTAACACTGCACACCTGCCCAGGCAACAGAATGAAACACTGTCTCTAAAAAAAAAAAAAACAAAACAAAACAAAAAAAAAAACACAGAAAAAAGAAATGTGACTAAACTGTCTGTCAAACAACTGGAAAAAAAATAAAGTTTTAAACAACCAGAACAGATAATGAATAATAAATCAACTGTACAATGAAGTATTTGTTATACTTACATAGTCTCCATGAGCCATTAAAAATTCTTACAAAACCAACACCTCAAAACCTTAAATCGCCATATACTATATGCTAAAATTATAGTATATAGTATATGTCTTCCAGAAAATGCAAAATGAAATAGGTACCAGTTTTGCCTTTAGTGACATGAGCCCTCCCACGTAACCAACCCCAATGCCATGGTGGGGTATGTTTGATAAATGATGATCTCTTCAAGACCTCTCACTTCATGCTTTTATCTATCTAGTTAGGGGGAAAAATACACTTACTGTTAGGAATTATCTTAAATAGTTAATAATTCCAAATGCAATGAAATGAGCATTTATTAAGTCAACCAAATGTAGGTAGTTGATATCAATTCACTGAGTAATAGAAAAAAGATATTATTTATACAGTACAATATTATTGATGTTTTCTTTAATCACATGAAGCAGGCAGAAAAACACAATTACACAAATATAGTTAAATCAATCAACAGCTGCATACTCAATAGATATGGGTAGGATATTTCCTATAATAGTGGCTGTTGCCTATCCAGCTTCCATTCATCTGTTCTTACTCTTTTGAGGCAATCCTCCCATCACTCATGATCCCATGCATCTCAGGGGCAGACACAAATCAAACATTATGAATAATAAATAACACATTATGCAAATTATTGCAGAATTTATAATTTTCAAAGTAAGATTCTTGAAATATAAAAATTAATATTTTAAAAATCATATTGAGTAGAGAGTTTATATCATACTCTGAGATTTTGTTAACAAGAGAACTGGCTCCAAATGTGGAATTTTCTTGAGACAGGCCTATAAAGAGTGTGAGTTGGTTAGTATTATATTCTCTGCTGGAAATCAAGTTTAAAGTGTGTTTAATGATAACTTCTGGTATGAAGAAAGCTGGAAAATAATCAAAAATAACAAGAACATACAAATAATGGCAATAACAAAATATTGCTATTTTACCCTTTTTATTGTAGATAAAAATGAATATTTCTGCTGAAACCATAAAAAGAGATAGTATATTATGTTTAAGGATACTTAAAATATGTCAGTATGACTCCAAAGTGGAAATGAAAAACAGGTTTACATAAACACTGTCTAACAAAAATATAGATATATATGTTAATTAATTTGACATTCTCTCATTGTCTGAATATTAACATTTATTCCCAAAAATATTATACTGTATTTCTACAAAATTACATTCAAGTGAACAACTGAGAGAATTATACAAATATAAATTGACTCTAGTGTACTAAAATTATTTCTTAAGTAATCCCAGGACTTATGTCACATTTTTTCTATTTTTTAAAATTGTGGTAAAAGCAATTACTAAGGAATCTACTCTTTTAACAAGCTTTTACATGCAAAACACAGTATGGTTAACAAAGTCACAATGTTATATAGCAGATCTCTAGGACTTTTCCATTTTATATAACTGATATTTTATAGCTGTATAGTAACTTCTATTTTTTCCTCTCCACAGTCCCTGGCAGTTAGCGTCTACACTCTCTTTCTATGAGTTTGACTGTTTTAGATAACTCACACGAATAGAATCATACAGAACTTGTGTTTCTGTTACTGGACAATTTCACTTAGCATAATGTCTTCTAGGTTCAACTTTGTTGTTTCATATGGCAGGATTTCCATAATGATTCATGATGTGAGAATTATTTCATATACCTGTTGGCCATTTGTATATCTTCTTTGATGTCATGTCTATTCAAATCTTTTGTTCATTTTTAAAAGAATTATTACGTTTTCAAAAAATACTATTGAGTTGTAGGTGTCCTTATATATTTTGCATATTTCACATTATTTTAAGGAGAAGTGTCTCCGAGGTCCATTGTTAAATGCACTGATCTTGACCTATCCCAATGTGGATGACTTTTTCACCATCACTGGCATCTTTTTCACCTGTAGTCTCTCATTATTGTGATTAACATAACAAAGCAAGGAGAAGTTGCTTCTTGCTGGAGTTAGATAAGACTAGTAAATTGGGAAATACTTTTCCACTCCATGTTTTAATTGCTTCACTTGAACAGACAATAGTTGAACTTTATAACTGTAGGCTTGAAGAATTCAGCCACCAGATACAAAATTTATACAAAAACACAAAATAACTGCATATAAATAAGAGCAACAGCAAAAAAATGTGATATGCCTTTCCTACCCTTGATTTGTGTTAGTTTGTCTTATTATTTATCTTTGCTGTAAGCATGAAGGACATTGCTGTCCTAATTTTGGAGGTTTTCTTCAATAAAGAAGCAAATCTCGACTAGCTGCTCTAAGTTAAATTGGAAAGGATATACAGTCTGTATCTATCTAGTACTAGCATTAAAATGTTAATCCTCTCTCTCTCTCTCTCTCTCTCTCATTGTGGTATAAAGACTGATTCATTTGGCTGAAAATTAGTTAACTAGTGAGACATAGACCAAGTGTCATTGACATCGAATAAATAAATGCCCTATTCCCTATTTTGTCCATAAAAATATAATCCTAGTATATTTCTAGAGTAAATCAAGGTCTGGGTACATCAAATCACAACCTAACTTTGTAGAAGATGGCACTTAATGTTTCATTTTCAGAAGTTTTTTTTCAACTTTTCATTTATTCATTAAGGCAGGTATCTTAAATATTTGTGTGACTGTTTAGCTGAGTTTTATTTATTTCTAATTAATTATTTATTGTTATTATTTTTGGTGACCCAGGTCAGAGTGGCATGTTCATGGCTCACTGCATCCTCTAACCCCTGGGCTAAAGTGATCCTTGCTGGATTTTATTTAAATTTTGGTCATAATAGTATGTAGTGTTGTCATTGCTAGTCATGCAAAATCTGATACATATAGTATTTTTATTTTAGTATCAGAATCCTATTAGCATTCTTTAATCTGGAATGGTTTACATATAAAAATACATTAATATGTGATAATGTAGTAAATTTTTGTAATGGATATATACAAAGAAAATGGAAATTGTCGTTTGTATACAAGTAAAGAGTGTATTTTAATGGATTTTTAAATAAACCATATTATGGTAGAACATACCATTAATGTTCTAAAAACAATAATGAGAGAATGTGTTACACATATAACAGAACTTAAATAACTATAAACACTTTGTGCAGCTTTTGAAGATAATGTGTTTTTGCTATTTTTAAATTTTGAAAAATGCTTTTATTTATAAAATATTGAACACTATCATTCACTGTATTCAAATGGTATTGAGATAGGAAATACACAGATACCCAGAATCTATATATGTAACCAGTCTGTGCTTCCAAATATATTTGCAATATAATAATTTTTTTGGAAATGATGCTATCTTTTCTTCAAATTCCATGAATAAATTCTACCTAATGCTAACTAACCTTCTCATTAACATATGGCTTTATTCGTAATAATATTGTTCCCTTCTCAAAAAATTATGGTAACAACAAGGCCTATAACACTATCTCACTTGAAGTAAATGGACTTAATATTACCCAACTGTGTAAACACGTTGCATTTATGATATTTCATGCTGCTTTGTATCACTATGCCACTATGCTAGGGTAACATTCTTGTGCATTTCAACAATTCTGTGAGTAAAAAAATGAATTGACTATAATAATTCATCTTTGACAATTGGAGAATTTAAATATCTGTCACAAATACGTGGTTACAAAATAGCACCTTTGGTAGATTTTTTTGTTCTTATTTTGTCGTGTGTGTGTTTTTGTGTGTGTGTGTCCTATAATCAGTTGTATATTATGGTGAATTTTATTCAAAGTGATACGATATAATCTTATTAAAATGTTAACATGTTAACATCTACTTATTAAATGGTTTGATTTTGAGAAAGTTTAACTGCATTATAAATTCACACTTTTGTTTTTGATGATGAATTGCAAGTATGAAGAATTACTTGATATTGTATATTATAAAAACTTGCTTTCTAATAGATGCTTAGTAAATAGTATCTATTACAGTTTTCTTATTTTCAAGTTTAAAATATCTTATACTGTTACTCTTTATGTTTTTCCGTGAGTTCTTTTCCTATTAGGCTTAAAATGTTAGCTTCATGATACTGAAACACATTTTCACTGTGTCATTAAAGAGCTAGCTTAGGAAATAAGAATAAGTAACTGCAAATCAGAATGTAAAACATTTATTTTTATGTGCCATTCAACGTGTGAACAATACAGGTGCAGGAAATAAGATGCTTTGTTTGAATTATTCTTTTCTGCTGAAAAATATGTAATGAAGGAATTTGCATGACTAATATACATTTTTGGCCAGAGTTTCTACATTGCCAAAATTTTACTGTGGTTTCAGCTGCATTTGAATGTGCGTGGGGGAAAAAATAAAGTTTTGAGTAAGCCATAAACACGATTGCTTTTCAATAAGCAATATACTTACCAACAGTGCATTTAAATCGCTATAATATTATTATATAAACTTAATGGTTTTATTTGGCAAAAAGCTATTTTACTATGCCATTTCATTAAAACAAAGCTTCTTAGAGTGCACATTTTCAAGAGAGACAGAAAGAGAAAGAGAGAAGAAAGTTAGGTTCTTATGGTCACAGAATTTTAATCTTCAGAATAATATTATGACACTGAAGTATGTATCCATACTAGAAAGTAAAATTAGAATTAGAATAAATAGCACCAATACAAACATTAACCCTGGCTTACTTGGCTGTTTTTGTTGTTGCTGTTGTTGTTGCTACTGTTTTGCTTGAGTCACAACACCACCACAACGGCTATTTTATATGCGTGCCTTGTGAGGCTAATTCTTCAGTACTTTTAGGCTAAGAGTTTAGGGACTCCTGGATTTCAAATCTCATACTTATTATAAAAGGAAATATATTTGAAAACTTTAGAACTTCATGTCTCAGCTATTGTCTGGAATATTTAACTTTACATTCTAGTTTAAGGGTTTTTCAAGTGTCTGAGAATAATTAACTTTAGAATATGCGTTCTTATTAAATTTTGACTTTGTAGCATTTTGTCAAATTTCTATTTTTTTCCCTAGATTTTTTAGCTTTGAACATCTTCAAAATATTACATCTGGGACTATTTTTTAAAGTATAATTAATATACCGTAATATTCAGTTGTTTAAAGTGTCCATTTCAGTTGCCGTTGCTGTATTTGTAAAGTTGTACAACCATCACCATTATTTAATCCACAAGACCTTTACCACTCTAAAAAGAAAGACGTACTTGTTGGCAGTCCCTCCCTACACCTTCCTCCCCCTTCCTCTATCCCCGGTATCAATCTACTTTCTATCTTTATTGATTTGCCCGTTTCGGCATTTCGTATATATGGAGTTATGTAATATATGGCCTTTTGTCTGTCTTCTTTCACCTAGTATCATGTTTTCAAGGTTCATCCTGAACAATTTTATATATTAATAACATTATTCTTACATTTTATGATACATTTATTACTAGTTCAAGTAATCTTCCAAACCATTTTTCCTTTTGGAAAGTTTGGTTTATTGCAATCCTGCAATTTTGTTCAAAGTTGGAAAGGTAAATGTAAGCCATGTCTCCTCCAAATGAAGTGAGTTGGAGTTACCCTTCATTGCACCCCTTTCCCTGGTGCACTAGCTGTTTTGTGTGATCTGTGAAATAAAGGTGCTGTCTGGTCCTTGCCTGTCACAGTTGCCTGCCAGCAGCCATTACGGGCTACATAAAAACTGCGTAAGATCCTTTTATCATGCAATGGAAGTTTGGCAGTGCAGGTGAAACCTTTTTCTGTCAGGTAATTCATTGTTCTCACCTAAGAACACAATTTAAAAGGCCCAAGAGAAATGGAAAATGATCTTAATGTAGATCTAACTCTTTTAAGCAGAAGAAAAATGATGAGCTGCTTTCACCTCCTTCAGAAATTTAATGCCTAAATCAATCTCTAAATTTTATATAAATGGTGGAATGCATCAAAGATAAATCAAAGATCTATATAAGAGCAAAGTAGATGATTGAAAATTTATACAAAGAAGTTCCAGGAAGCCACATCTTTAGCATGCAAAGCCCATTCTCGGGCCTCTAATTTATGTTAAATGTTTTTGAAACATGCAAACTAATACTGATTACAAGCAGGAATAGAGACTGAGAAAGAAGAACACACACTGAAATATAATTATATGGTTGTATTGATAACCCAGTTCATATTCATCTTTTCAAAACGAATCATTATGCCTACGAAGATAAAACTATGAAGACCTTAAAATGCAGGTGTCAAAGGCTCAAATTAGAGTTAATGTTGTAGAGGTTGTGCTAGTCACTTTGATCCTTTATTAAGGTTAAATAAAAGACAATAGAAAAAGATGTACTCTGACAATTGATTAATTTAAATCTGGGACAAAGATTCTAAATTTAATTATAGTTGTATAAAAGTGATACTATTTACATTTGTTGAATAATTCACTGAGGTTCAAAAATTAAAGGAAAAGCTGGGCATAGTCAACAGGCAATCCATCTGTTGGAAGAAAACATCTCAGAGTTATAGACAAACGCTGACCTTAATGCACCTAACACCAATATTTTACACTAAATAGTTTATTTGAGGAATAGGGTAGCAGAAAGATGAAAGTATTGACAGTTAAATATTTGTATGTGAAAACACTGGACCTCCCATGTGCAAGCAGGATAGGCTTTAATGAACTAATGATGCTTGCTGGGCCTCAGGTTCCTCATCCATAAAATAAAATTTGTTAATTATAACACCTATTAAAATGTGACAATTAAATAAATGACGTTAAGACTCTGGTACTTTGGCTTATGGGCTTGTAGCAAATAGTAGCTGTTATTATAATGCCATGCTTTCAGGCTAGATCCCCATATGTATTTTTCCCAATCTGAAGATTCTTTAATCCAATTAACTTAGTCTATTTTTTTTTTTTTTAAACAGAGTCTTGCTCTGTTGCCCAGGCTGGAATGCAGTGGTGTGATCTTGGCTCACTGCAACCTCCACCTCCCGGGTTCAAGCGATTCTCCTGCCTCAGCCTACCGAGTAGGTGGGACTACAGGCACCCGCCACCATGCCTGGCTAATTTTTGTATTTTTAGTAGAGACGGGGTTTCACCATATTGCCGAGGCTGGTCTTGAACTCCTGACCTTGTGATCCACCCGCCTTGGCCTCCCAAAGTGCTGGTATTATAGGTGTGAGCCATGGCACCCAGCCTAACTTTATTAAATCAATCTTCCTTTTCTTTATATTCCACGTTTTAAAGCTAAGCCTAATAAAGTAGAGAACACATTAGCTAGTGTCTAGAAAACTACAAATGTGCTGGATTCTTTCTCCATCATTAGCAATTTTTAGGATATGTTTCTAAAGCACATGTCTTCGAAAGGCTTTTAGGTTAATGAAGATAATAGCAACCTATAGGAAAACTAACAGATTAGATTTTAAAGGAAACTTTGGTTAGAACCAGGATTTACCATTTTTTTTTGTTATTCCTTTCCAATTACTGTCATTAATAATTTTCAAGGCTAATATAAGCATGTAACCTCATATTTTACTCATTTCTTTTAGATTCAGTATCCTTATGTCATAAAACCTGCAACACACATAGAGGAGACCTATAAATTTTCCAAAGTCATAAATGAATCATTAATAGAGCTATACAAGCCTAGTCTTTTTTATTTAACTAAATTTAAACATTTTATGTCATGAAATTACCATCATATTAGGAATTGGTAAATAGCTCAATTAATCCACATCCTTTTCATGCACAAGTTTATAAATTAGTTTAAAATTAATAACTACTTCTTCATCTTTTTTTTCTTTTTTTGGATTCTTGCCTTGCAAGTGTTTTGGCCGCTTGATATTGTGCTGGCATCTGTGTCAGAGGACACATTGAATCAGGGGAATTTTAGCTAATATTAAATCATTTGGTTAAATTTTTAGTATAGGGAGATTGAAGAGATTAAGTAAAATCGAAGTTAGGCAGTTTCTGTGAATTTCTTTTATACACCATTATCAAAACATAGGAAGTTTCATCACACTTGTTTGCATCTAACATTTAATGAATAGTTTTCTAATTTTGTAACATTTACAGGTACTCACAACGAAGATCACACATGACTCTTTATTTTCTATTATGAAGCAACAGCCTGAAAAAACAGCCACTTATTAAATACTGAGGTGAGAAAGTTTTTTTTTTTTTTCTTTTAATATGAGATGGGGTCTTGCTCTTTTGCCCAGGGTAGAGTGCAGCGGTGCCATCTCGGCTCACTGTACCTCTATCCCTTGAGTTCAAGTGATTCTTCTGCCTCAGACTCCCAAGTAGCTGGGACCACATGCATGCCCTGCCATGCCCAGCTAATTTTTGTGTTTTTAGTAGAGACAGGGTTTCACCATGTTGGCAAGGCTGGTCTCGAACTCCTGACCTCAGGTGATCCACCTGCCTTGGCCTCCCAACGTGCTGGGATTACGCGGTTCTGGGATTACTCAGCTTGAGCCACTGCACCCAGCTGAGAAAGGTTTTAAACATAGTAAACTATGTTTAACTACGTTTAGTAAACTAAATCATGTCATCTAATATGACCTCTGAGAATTAACTATTTTTATCGTGGGGGAATGTCCCAATCATATTCAAGAGACTTAATAGTGAGGGTGGTATTTAATGGATTGTTACGTGTACAAATCTCTTTTATTTTAAATGAAGCCACTTACTTTTTGGTGCTTAGATCTCTAATATGCTAAAATTTATAAAGTTTTGGATTTTCTAAATAAATATCTCATAAATAATAAGATATTTTAAATAGTAATTTTAGTTGATTTTCAGAAAATCATACATTATTTTGTAGGATTCTTAAATTGATTTTGGTTTTTGTACGATAATATTTTATTTTGTGTTGTCATATCCTCTCAGTCACCAAGGCTACAAATCTCAAAGTCACTGCTTTCATTTAACCTCACCTTTAAACATAAAATAAGTTGTTTTAATATTTTGTATTTCCTTCTTTCTTCCTACTTCATCTGCTTATTCAAAATTTCAGTGCTCCTTGCCTCATAGTGGTTTAATTATTCACCCAAAATTGAGTCTCCTACTTTATTCTTTGTGCTCTGCATAGCTGGTATGCTAAAACACAATTTAAATTAAAGCATTACTCTCTTAACAACTGTTTGGTGAGTATAAAAGACCAAGTTCCTTATATTTCGCTGGAAAGGTTGAGGACCTTTCCATATTCCATGAGGAATATGATATGTCACTTGACTTTTCCCTTTTTTATTTCGTATTTTATCCCCAAATCTTTCTTCAGTCAAATGCCAATTTGCCATTTTCTGAGAAGAGGAGCATATGGTACTCTTCCTACTATGTGTCTTTTCTAAAATTCTTCCCTTTTTTCCTTACTTCCTTCTCTATTTCCTTAAAACTTATTATCTTCTAAAGTTGAACATAAATTTCTTTATGAAGAAGACTATTTCCTCACACAAATGAAAATTCTTATAATCAGTGTGAATATTTGTACTTGTAGTACAATACTGATTTACTCTGCTTCTCGTTAAATTAGATATTTGCTTCTCTATTTGAACTGCCTTGAATATAAGGATTACATATTTTTTATTTCTTCTTTCTACTTGTATGCTTCCATTCATGATCAGAAACATCTTTATCCTAACATAATTTGAATGTCAAGCAGATCCAGCATATCTGTTATAATTCCGTCACTTTTTTTTTTTTTGCTGTTTGTTGCTATAGAAATTTAATAACATCTTTCAAGTGCATTGCATACCGCACTTTGGAGTCTTTGTAATAGAATAGAGAATTATAAAATATGATTCAATATTAGGACTACATGTGCTGATTCTCTGAATTACATTGAATAGTAATGCTGATTATAATACAGATCTTGGCCATGAACATTGTAAATTAGGACTAGGAAAAATTGCAAAAGTATGTAAAGGTCTTTAGTAAATAAGTTTTCTTTAATTTAAACTCTTAAACAGCTAAATTTTTGAATAAAAAATGTTTATTCATATCTTCCAAAACAAATTGAATGTATATGTCATTGTGTATACAAACAATGTGTATACACTTACTAGCTTTTATATTAACATATATATACTTATATATAATATATATTTACAAAGCAAAACAAAAATGCCAGTTGGTAACAATCTTTATGAATGATATAATCTGATTGCAAACATGAAGCAGTTGAAACTATTTGTACTAAAGAATGTTTTGTGAAAACAAAAAACGTGTATATAGTATATACATGTTTGTATGTGTGTGTGTATCGTAAAAGTATTCAAGGCACTTTATAGAAATAGGTTTTGATAAATGACTTCAGATAAAATAGAAAATTCTAATATTATAAATATCAACCATTTTAATCTTTGTATTAGTTCATAGGAAGATATAGAACTGAATTAAATTTGATGTTGTATATTAATTTTTTCATATAGTGAACCTCAATTTCATAACTATACAATATTTCTGATAGTAAAATATTTCAAAGCTGGGTAGTAAAATAGCATATTTTGGAATAATTCATAAAACAGAAATAATAAAACATAAAGTAAATAGTACTTTGCAAACTGGAAATCTGAGTTACATAGATTTTATGACTTGTTCAAAATCCTAAAAGTGGAAATCAACTGGCCAACTCCAAGATTTAACTCATATTAAATAATTTAAATATTTGGATTTAATTTTCAAAGTAGTATTAAGAAAACATAACAAACCTAACAATAATAATCAGCTCGTTGTAAAAATAATGAGATAGACTGTTCTTACAATTAAAATAGTGAATATTAATCCTTCTTGTTAGTTAATTCAATAAACTAAGTAGTTTACCTGTGAAAGATGTTTCATTTATTTAATAACTTATGTATTTTGACAAATAAAATAGAATTTCAGTTCAGTAAAATCTCAGTTTTGACTTTTTTTCAACTGTTTGTTATAAATTGTGAATTGTAATGATATAAGCCTATCTCAAGTATATAAAAACTGTTATAAGAAAGTGCTCTTAAAATATACCATTGTAAGATTATATATGTATATATATACATATATGTATATAATACACATATAAATCACTATATATAAAAATCACTATATATACACATATACACACATATATATACACACATATATATACACACATATATATACACATATATACACACACACACACACACACACACACATATATATATATATATATATATATATATATATATATATATCTAAGGCTTGTTAATGAACATTTATAACATGTTGGGGCTATTTTTATTACCACATCATTTTGACCTAATAAGAAATATCATTCGTTGAGTACATATGACAGATCATATCACATTATCTTTAGTCTTCCGAACACTGCTGCCTAATAGGTCTTATTCCATCATTTCAAAGAAGAGAATTATAAAATTCTAAAAAGTTGTCTTAGATTATACAGCTAATACATGGCTGACCCTAGGATACTTACCTATGCTAGCTGATTCCAAAACAAGATAAAGAATAAAATTTAAGAGCAATCATTTAACAGTCTAGGTTAGTGGCTTCCAAAGCTGACCATGTCTCAGATTCAGAAAAAAAGATTTACAAAAACTATGGCTTCTCGGACCAGCCATTGATATAATGAGTCAAATTTTCAATGACTAGACTCAGGATTTTTGAAAAATCTTCCTAGTGACTTTGATCACTAATGATATATGAAAATCTAGGTAATGATGGGAGGAAAGCATGGTACAAAATTCTGGATCAGAAGGAAAACTTACGTGTTATTTCTGTTCCACTTTGTAAAATTTTTAAGCAAGCCATATAATATTTAGTGAATTACTCTTTGAGGTCTAACTTTTAATCTTCTTTTGTTTTTTGACATTAAAAACTCCTACTACTAATAGTAGGATCAGTTCTACCAAAAATGATAGGAAATGCTAGAAAATTACCCCAAAACCACAAACAACTCTAAATCACTGCAAAGTCTAATTTCCTAGCTAACTCTTGCACTAGTGACTCATAAACTAATTTACTTGCCAGCCATTCCTCATACTGGATGTATCTTAAGCGGTTGTGTCTATGTCATCATTTGCCAATGTAGCAGGAGAAGCCGCATCCAAAACTCCTCAGACACCGAGTTAAAGAAGGAAGGGGTTTATTCGGCCGGGGGCATTGGCAAGACTCCTGTCTGAAGAGCCGAGCTCCCTGAGTGAGTAATTCCTGTCCCTTTTAAGGGCTCACAACTCTACGAGCATGCGCCTGAGAGGGTCGTGATCGATTGAGCAAGCAGGGGGTACGTGACTGGGGGCTGCAGGCACTGGTAATTAGATCGGAGCAAAACAGGATAGGGATTTTCACAGTGCTTTTCTATACAATGTCTGTAATCTATAGATTGCATAACCGATTAGGTCAGGGGTCGGTCTTTAACTACCAGGCCTAGAGTGTGGCCCGGGGCTGTCTGCTTGTGGATTTCATTTCTGCCTTTTAGTTTTTACTTTTCCTTTCTTTGGAGGCAGAAATTGGGCATAAGACAATATGAGGGATGGTCTCTTCCCTTACCAACAATAATTCTTATGCTTCTATAAGTGGGCTACAGGGCTATGTTGCTTTTCCCTTCAAAGTCAGATAGAGATTTTCTTGCCACATTTCTTTCTCCCTAAAACTCGAGCATCAGTCAGTCACCGCAAGCTGAATTGTAAGGTAATATAAAAGAGAGGGGGAAGGGAAGAGGACAAGGGTGGTACCCATAGGGTACCATGTTTAATATTAGATTGGTGCAAAGGTAATTGTGGTTTTTCCATTAAAAGTAATGGCAAAATCACAATTATTTCTGTACCTACCTAATACATGGGTGACTGGATCATTAGAAGCCCAAACTTCATCATCACACAATGTAACCATGTAACAAACCTGCACATGTACCCCGTGAATCTACAATAAAATAATTAAATAAATTAAAAAATGACACATGCTCTTTGGTACTCAAACCATCCTTTTCCTGACCCTGAGAATTTGTACTAGCTCAGGCTAAATATAGTAACTATTAAAACCTGTTCCCTGATAGTGCGTTCTTTCCCAGGAGTTGACTTAGTTTTTTTCTAACTATTAAACATCCCCAAAGAAACTTGTCAAGGGTCTGGCCTAGTGGCTTATGCCTGCAATCACAGCACTTTGGGAAGCTGAGGCGGGTGAATGGCTTGAGCTCAGGAGTTCGAGACCAGCCTGGCCAACATGGTGAAACCCCGTCTCTACCCAAAATACAAAAACTTAGCTGTGCATGGTGCTGTGCATATGTGATCCCAACTACTTGGGAGACTGAGGTAGCTGAGGTAGGAGAATCACTCGGGGGGTGTGGGGGTGAGAGGTGGAGCTGAGTAGCTGAGTCTTGCCACTGCACTCCAGCCTGGTTGACAGAGTGAGACTCCGTCGCAAAAAAAAAAAAAAAAAAAAAAAAAAAAGAAAAGAAACTTCTCAAGGAGTCTTGAAAGAATGTCTAAGAATGACAATATTATGGTGATCACAATATAGGGTAAAGTATGAACTATGTGTATATCTGTAATGCATATACAAACAGCTTATCATTTATCCTATATATATTTTAACACATATATATTTGAGTATTATTCTGGCTACTTCACATTGAATTCCTATTTATTCTCCATGAAGAAAGGTATGAAATGGTTACAAATTATCCCCGTTTTCTGAATGAGGACATTAAGACACCGAAGTTAAGTAATTTTCTCAAGATAAAAGTGCTAATATATGACAGAGCTGAGGTGAGAATACAGGCATTTTGGCTTCAGAGCTAATGTTCTTTACAGTGGTGATGTTTATATTGTCTCTTTTTTTCTGCTTTTCCTCTTTCTCCATATTCAAATGACAGAGTCACATATATGCAACTATTCATTTACATATGAATAAGTCTAAACTGACAAGGGAAGAGGCATTATTATCCAATGTTGTTTAAATATATTAGCCCAGGGCTGTCTTTTCACTTTGGAAGATTGCTTAGAAGAGATTACACTGAGTAGAAAGTTCAGTCAATCAATGACTTAATTAATTAGTCATGCAGGTATAATATACCCATTCAACATTTGCTGCCATATTTCTTGGGTTGTTCCTTGAAGGAAGAAAAAAAAACAGAAAAATAAAACCTTATTGGTGATTTAAAAGAGCTATCTACTGAACTAGATAAGCAAAGTTTACATAAAATTAGAGAATAATAAGGTAGTAAATTGTGCTATGCTGTCACTAGTAATAAAAAAAGGGAAATTAAGTTTGAGCCAGGGGCACCAATGAGGAGGTGTCATGAGCTCAATATTTATGGAAGAGTGAAACCTAAAAACCAGAGAAATGGGATCAAGTTTTCTAGAATCCAGTAGAAAAGATAGATTATTAGAAATACAAAAATGTTTTAATCTAAAATAACATGTGTACAAATAGATAAATGGAATGGATCTGGTGGTAACTTGTAGGCATTTTTTCATAACACGGAGTGATTCTCATCCCATGCGTATATATATTCATTCATTCACTCAGAAATATTGTTGAGTGATAACATTTGTGTAGAGTCCTAACCAGGGCATCCTTTCTGCTGCTGCTATTTGATATCCTATTCTAAGGGTAATTTAAAACTCTTTTTAAGATAGAAATTATATATTATTTTAATTTTCAAGCATAATAGAACTTGCAAATGGGCAGTAACATGAATGAAAGGGAGAACCTTAAATGTAAATACATTCAACCCATGTCTACATAATTGCAAAGAAGTAGCTTGGGAGAAAATAAAATGGTATATATAGATATAATGTATCATTTTATACTCTGTACACAAGACTTAAAATATTTATTATGATCAGGGTACTTATACTCTAGTTCTTCTGAAAGTTTTTCTCCTAGCAGATTCTGATTATTATTTTTAACTACTTTTACAGCGAGAGTCCAGAGGCCTACATCATTTCAGCTTTAATCTTAAGAAAAAACAAGAAAGCAAATTTCTAGCTTCAGTTCTCTAATTGCACACCAGTTATCAGTTTTAGAGTAATTGAATTTTACTCATCATGTAAATAACTGACATTATAGAGACACAGTCTTACTGTTTGTTGGACCAAAACTAGTCTGCTGCATATACACTGGAGAGGAAAAAAGGTAATCAACATGAAATAATGAAGATGCACTCCAATAGAATAATTAAGGATTATTTCACTATTCAACAGTTGACAGTCTTGATGATAAATATGATATTTGTATTACCATCAAGCTTAATCTTCAAAAGAGGAATGGCAAAATGAGCCATCCTTTCATAAAGATCTAATCTTATATCAGTAATAAATATTGCCAAGGTTAATTAATATATGTTATTATCTAGCCTTCATATACCAAAATTACAATGTAATTATAAAATATTTTTATGAGGATGTCTAAGGACATTTTAAATTGGGAGGAAAAAACACACATAATTGTGTTCATTCATGCACAGAGCGACTGGAGCAGATTGATTTGAACATGAAGGAAAATTACAGAAAAAGTAACAGAAAGCAAACAATGCTCCTCATCTAACAGAAAAAAAACCTTTATTTAAAATTAATTAAAGTATAAAAATAACTTACTTCCAAAGAATAAATCACATATTAAACTTAGATCTAAAGAACCAAAATGAACATTTTATAAAGGCAAATACAGAGACATTGACTTTCTTCAAATAAGTCCAATGACAAATAATTTATTCAATAGCCATTGGGTGCAATTATTGAGCTACGTTCTAGGATAGAAAAACAGAAAGATAAAATTATTTTTGTGAAGAGCTAACAGCATGTTGTGGGAAAGAATTACATGAGCACTATAAAATACTGCACAAGTACAGTAATAGAGATGGTTATAGGGTTGATGAAAATACTAAAAATGTACCTTATTCAAACTTTTGGCAGTGGGCGTAGGTGGCAAAATGGTTGGGAAAGCATCCTAGAAAAGTGATTACCAAGCTGAGTATAAAAGAATCAGTCAATGGTACTTGACGATACCTAAGTACTGTAAGAAGGACATTCTAGACAGAGGGTGACATGAGCATAGGCATGAAGAGAAGCAAGCTATGTTTAGAATATAATCATGTTGGTGTTTTTACAAAACCAATTTGAATTAGAGAGTAGGGACAGATGTTGGAGAAATAAGAGGCTATATCTGAAAGAATATGTCAAAAGAAATTTATGACTTATTGAAGAGACAATTATTATGTTTAGCCCAACTAGTCCAACAATAACAGAGTGTACTGCAATTTGATTCTGACACTAACTACCTGGAGTTAGCACGGACCCCACAAGTTAAGGGCAACATCCTCCATAAGACCACTGTCACTTCAGATGGGCGCTGCAATTCTCAGAGCAGTCTCCAGACCATCTGAACTTCTGAGCAAATGGCTACAAATTTGAAGGTTTCTGTGATGCACTAAGGTTTGATAATTTGCTAGAAAGATACAGAACACAGGGAAGTGCTCTGCATATATTACAGATTTACTAAAAAGGGTCCTCATATGCATGAGTTCTGAGAGGGAATGCAGAGCTTCTGAGCTATCTCTTGGAATCAACATATATCACTGGCTGGCACATCAATGGGTTTTACCAACCAGTAAGTTTCATTGAGCTTCGGTGTACAGGGTTTTATCAAGGCTTCATTACATAGGCATAATTTATTAAATCACTGGGCACCTCCCCACCCCTGGAAGTTAGGCTAGCTCAAAGTTCAAACCCTCTAATGTGGTTAGTCTTTTTCGTGATCAGGCCCCATCCTGAAGTTATTTGAGGGCCTACCACAAGTAATTTCATAGAGTTTAACCATTTATCAATCCTCGTCTCATATTGTTTGATCTGTATAACCTTCTTCTCTCTTTTTCCCTTGGGTTAAATTTCCATTATAATAATCTTCACTAAGTCTAAAAATTAGCTTACTTGATCAAAAGTCATATATGTTTCATAAACACTTTTATAACAGACATACATAATTCAAAACTAAAATAAAAATTAGAAAATGCAGTTGTTTTATATATTTTTATTGTATATTGGGAAGAATACTACTATATATAATGAAATTCAGGCAAGAGTGGCCTGAAATATTCACTTTCATCTTATTGATAGTTTAGAATAAACAAATAAATAAAAGTATGAAAATAGATTGGCCAATTGATTAGAAAAGCAAATTGTATCAATTTTTATTATCTTAAACTTGGTAAATTTCTTTTTTTTTTTTTTTTTTTTTTCAGAGACAGGGTCTTACTCTGTCACCCAGTCTGGAGAGCAGTGGTGCAATCATGGCTCACTGCAGCCTCGATCTCCTGGGCCCAGGTGACCCTTCTGCCCCAGCCTCCCAAGTAACAGGGACTACAGGTGCATACTGCCATGCCCAGCTAAGTTTTGTTTCTTATTTTTTTACTTTTTACTTTTTTCTAGAAATGAGGTCTCTCTATGTTGCCCAGGCTGGTCACAAACTCCTGGCCTCATGAGATCCTCCTGCCTAGGCCTCTCTAAGTGCTGAGATTATAGATATGAGCCACTGTGTTGGGCATGTTTCTATAAGCTAGTTTTTATTTGGTCTCTAATATTAATTTGATATAACACTTTAAATTTTATGGATTAAAAAAATTTAATATACAGTAAATTAAAAACATAATATTCTGTTAAAGGGAGAAAATATTTGTTACTCTATCATAAATATTACTTTATTACATACCATATTTCAATGACTAAAAAATACTGAAAATTTCTACAGAAATTTTTGAAATCAATGATAGATTTAAATCAAAGAGATTCTCTAGAGAAGAGAAGTTTTCAAAACTTTGCTCAGTGTGTGGGTATTTGTATCAGAGATCAATTAGAGAAGGATGACTAAGAATGGCATATAACAAAATAGTTATTACTAGGGTTTGTTTATGCAATTGTGGGAGTAGTTAAACAATTCATTTACCAATGTTCCTTCTGTATCTGGTGCAGGATCTGAAGTGAAGAAGTTAAGAAGTATGTGAGGAAACAAATATAAGGGAGGGCAAGAACAAGTTTGAACTTGTGAGGATGAATTAGAACCTATGAGTATGAACTAGAACCTATGAGTATGAACTAGAAAGCATAGTGGTCTCTCAGTACCTCCAACTGTCCAACTTCAATGATATGGGTAATCTGCAGACAAAAGCTGGTACTATTTGCCAAGGGCATAGACACATACTTAGACCAGGACTGGGAAGCTGAAGAAGGAAATCTGTCAGATGGTGGAGGAGTTGGAAGCCTCGCTACTGCTTTACACCAACAAGGTGAGTCAGGAAGTCTACAACACTATGCATGAGCTACAATGTGTCTGATATTACACTGACCCTTTGAGCCTTGATCAAGCTGTTGTTTATGTCCACCTTCCAAATTCCACACCTAATTTTCTATAGTGGCCAGCCCTGCCTGAGGAGCATAAAGGGAAGGAAAGTCTGAGTCACATTGTTCTAGCTTAGGTAAATTGACACAGTAAAAAGCTGTCAAGGTGTATCTCTTGCCATCTTGGAAACTATACACATCCTCATTAACCAAACATAAATTCCAAAATCATGCTTCCTCCTAATATGATTCAGTTGTCCCTTTCATACTAACCTCTTCCTAAATAAATTTACAAAATTATTTTATTTTTAGCTGATGCTTATTTCTCTTCAGGATGAGTCACACTTCCTCTTTGACATCCTGTAACCTAAATATTGAGATATAAGATTAACTACTATTAGCACATTTTGTTAGTTGATAAGAGAATAGAAGGAAAGGAAAAATGCTTAAATTATGTGAATACATCCCTTATTGAAATAAAGATGAAACACTCATAACAAATATGATCCTCATTTAATCATATTAGTCATGAGGCCATAATGAGTGTTTTTCACTGCCTTTCCTGACTACTATTTTATATTCTTCAGCAGTTACCTCAGCTGGTTGTGGTTCCTTGTATGGTTGAATGAGGAAAACCTTTATTCCTAAAGTGTATGGGTTATTAGACATCCTCACTCTACTGGGTTCATATGATTTCTCATTGACATTAGTTGCGGATATGTAGATACCCATAGGAACCTCAGAAAGCAAAACATTCTCCTTCTTGCACCCCATTTGCTAGTATTATCCCACTTTCTCCTTTATAATCAGAATCAACTATCCCATGTAATACAGTGATCTCTTCCTTGCGTTTTATTTACTTACATGAATGACCCAAAGAGGTCACAAGATATACTAAATTCCCAATTATTTGGAATCATTGCTGTGTCACTTGGTAAAAGTTGGGTTTTGTTTGCTGATCTTGATACATAAAAACGCATGTTCACATGTACAAAACAACATTTATTTGTTTTGGTTAACCTGAATTTGATTAACATGAATAATCATGGTAATCATTGTGTTTCAAACACCCTCATTCTCTTGGAACCCTTTTTTACACTCATATGGCCAAAATACAACCCTGGCCCTGATCTATAATAGTAACTTGATAAATACGGCTAAAAGAAACAAAATTTTGCTGAATCTTCTGATTTAAATTCATGATCAATAATTTCAGTTGAAACTTCACTACTATTTTACAATCATATTTCTCTAAGTCATCCACTCTCCCAATGTGAAAGATAACTATTTTTTTTCTGGCTTCAAATATTCAACATTTTTCTACCTATATAACACTCAACTAATACCCATTTCTTTCCCTTCCATTGCAACAAAATTTCACAACTTTATATATCCTTCATGTATCCATTCTCTCATTTTGTTTCCATTTCTCTATCTCCTTTAAATCCACTCCAGCCAAACTTTTGTCACTGTCATCACATCAAAATACGTTTAGTTGAGTTGTCAAGATCACCAATGATTTCAAGTTGCTGAATATTATGGTCAATTCTCTGTCCTTATCCTGAGGCACAGCAGCATCTGATATAATTCTCAGATTAGGAAAGAAGCCTTTTCTTCCCTTGACCTCCAAGGATTTTATTTAGTTTTGGACCTAATTGACCACTATATCTTAATTTTCTTTATTTCTCCTCATTTTTTTTTGTATATAAATCATGAAGTACTCAGGGTATCTATCTTTGAAAACCTTTATTGTTGGCTTACCTTCATTTCAGATGTTTACTTCTATCTCATGTTCCTTGTGTATTTTCAAACCTTGACATAGTACTTACATACAAATTTAAATCTCCAGACAGAATATCCAGAAAAAGACCACATTAAAACAAGTGCTTCTCATTATCGCTGTTACTTGTTCTTTGAGATCAGAAGCCAGTTGTATCACTATATTTTAAGGAGAAAAACTCTACTATGCAAATTAAGAGACCTGCATTCTGGGACCTCCTCTACCCTACATGTAAAAGAGATTACTAAAATCTGTAGATTTAGTCAGATACAAATAGAATTCCTATATTTAAGACGTGTATATTTTTGAGAACTTTCTGTGAATAAAATACAATATTTTCACCAGAATGTGAGCTATAACTTAAAACATTTCTACAGTGTTCATTAGTTTCAGTATAAAAAGTAGATGATGAAGTAACACTTTATATTATGGAGAAACATCACTATCATTAATGACACAATTTCAGAATAGCTTCTAATAACAAAGTGGTTACACTTCAAAGTGTTTTAAATTATAACCTATCTTGGCCGGGCGCGGTGGCTCACGCCTGTAATCCCAGCACTTTGGGATTGGGAGGCCGAGGTGGGCGGATCACGAGGTCAGGAGATCGAGACCATCCTGGCTAACACGGTGAAACCCCGTCTCTACTAAAAATACAAAAAAATTAGCCGGGGGGTGGTGGCGGGCGCCTGTAGTCCCAGCTACTCTGGAGGCTGAGGAGGGAGAATGGCGTGAACCTGGGAGGCGGAGCTTGCAGTGAGCCGAGATCGTGCCACTGCACTCCAGCCTGGGCGACAGAGCAAGACTCCATCTCAAAAAAAAAAAAAAAAAAAAAAAAAAAAAAAAAAAAAGAAAACAAAAAATTATAACCTATCTTTTTGCCTAACACAAAATTTGTGAAGCAGTACAGACACTCTTCCTAACTTAGCAATGAAAAAGTTCACAAAACTTCATTGACATTGTCAATATGTGTCTGGTTAAACATGGCCATAGTATCTGCCATTGGGAGTTCGGATGTGGGAAGTAGTGTCGTGGAACCTGCTTGTACCAGCTCACATAAGCAGATTTTTCTCATTGCTTTCCAACTCTGTGTTCAATGGCATAATACTGGTAGCTCAAATTCTGCCATCATGAGAATATTTACACCACAGAAACTGGTGTATATTGCAGACAGGGATTTTTTTTCATAAGAGAGAATTTACAAGCATACCACTGAGTGTCCTCTCTTCTTGAATTGCGACGGATTCTGAGATTGCTTTGACCAGTTGATTTTGGCAGAAGTTATGCCGTACCAGTTTCCTGGCCAGTTCTTCAGAGAGTTCAGTTCTTCAAATCTCCAGTTCTTCAGAGTTCTTCAGTTCTTCACTTCTTGCCTCTTAGAATATTTGCTCTTAGAAAATGCCCACACAATCAATGAAGAGGGTCACTCACATTGATGAGAACTGACTCCTCGCTAATAGTAGCTTTAACTTGCCAGCCAACTTGAATTGCATCCTTCAGTCATAGTTGACCCATTCTAGATGACAACACATTGAATTAGCTGCCCTCACCAAGCCCAGCCAAAATGGAATATTTGTGAGCAAAAGAATTATTACTTTATTTTTAAGCCACTAGGTTTTAGGGTAATTTATAATGATACAATAGATAGCTGAAACAAACACAGCTTGAAAGATAGGCAAACTAGAACTGAAACTCAGTTTTACTAATACCTTATTCAAAATTCTTTCAACATTATCATTTTTCTTCCTCCTCCCCCACCAGTTGTAGTAGAGGAAAATGAAAGAATAGATATCCTATCCTTAAGAATGTAGGAAGAGAAAAATATGACTAGTGATTCAATTACTTCATTCTAACAGTTTGTCACAAATATTTTTAAAGTCACTATTGTGGAACTGTTGGAATTCTGAGTCCTGTTTTAGAAATGTTTAATAATTGACTTTCTTTTCTGATTAGAAATTTGTATGTAATGCACAAAACATTTGGAAGCCAAGTCATTGGTATTGTTATGTGCTTAGAATTGGTGTTTATTTTGTTGATTTGCTAACTACCACAAATACTATGAGTAATAACATTAGTAGAATTGTCAAGAAACTGGATATATGATCACTTCAACTCAATTATAGTAACATAAAATATTAATTGTAGGGAAATGTTGGTTATCTTTCTTTCTTATACATCTGGAAACATAATTTATAGGTGTTTCAAACACAGTAAAATGTATAGAATCATATTGTTAATTGGTAACTTAAAGTATGATTATAGATATTTCAAGGATTATATTCAATTACTTAATAACATGGTGTTTGTGAGTATAAAATAAAACCACCAATCAAAATATTTAATTTTCAACGGTACTGATTTGAATATTGATTACCTGTCACCATAATTATTGTTGTGTCATCTTACCTTTTCCTGTCTTCTTCTAGTCGTATTACTTCAAGAAATGTACTGCTAACGTGAGGTTCTATTTAACATTTACTATTTTTAATGCTCTAAAGAATAAATCCTAAATCTCTTGAATTTCATGCAAATCCTGCATGTTCAGATCTTAAAATTTTATTCTACTTATTCTACTTCTTACAGACCAGACTTTTACCTCTTCTTCTAATATTTTTCATCACTAAACCATAGACCATATTGACCCTTCTCTTTGAAAGCTCCTTCCCTCCATCTATATAGGCTGAATTGCAAGTGAAACATTAAGCCTCAGTTCAAAAAGCATGTATGCAATATTCTGAACTTCCCACATCCGTAAGTAAGGGCTCATGTTCCTACATTCACACCTTTCTGCATATTATAGCACCTTGTCTGTGTTAATATTTATTTCTATAAAAACATATTTGTAGTGATAATAATTCTCCAGTTTTCAATCTCATCTTTTTTTCATTATTAGTGATTTCTAAGTTTTAATTTAGTCCAGAGCTGCATAGACAGAAAAGACACTTCTTATTCCTTTTGTAGCTATGTATGGTTGGGTAATAAAGTTCTTGACAATTATTTTCAGGATGAGTCTTGCCTTTAAAACCATACACCTTTGGCGTTTCTTTTTAATTTTTTTCTCCTTTCTGTGGTCTGGGACTTGGATGTGGTGCTGGTGAACCAAGTTTGAATGTGCAGATAACGACAGTAGTTGAAGTATAGGAGAAGCCAAAAACAGGGGCCATGAACCTGGATGATCAAGTGGAGATCAGAGGCCTATTAACACTGGACCACCAATCTACCTCATTTTTATATAAGTGAGAAATACATGACTTGGCAGCATCCTAGACTACATATCTCCAACTAATACACTACTGTACAAGACTTTACACTGACTGTAGAATTTGTGCAGAATTGTAAAGTTGTGAAGCCACCATTTTCTCTAGCTTTCCTATATCCGGAACAGGGCCTTAAAAACACTAGGCATTCAAATATTTTGTTAATTACATTGCATTGAAAAGTAATGATATTTTAAAATTTCAAATTGTAAGCTTTTGTTCATTAAATTGATTTTTTTTTTTTTTTTTTTTTTTTTTTTAGACGGAGTCTTGCTCTGTCTCCCAGGCTGGAGTGCAGTGGTGCGATCTTGGCTCACTGCAAGCTCCACCTCCCGGGTTCATGCCATTCTCCTGCCTCAGCCTCCCAAGTAGCTGGGACTACAGGCGCCTGCCGCTACGCCCGGCTAATTTTTTGTATTTTTTAGTAGAGACGGGGTTTCACTGTGTTAGCCAGGATGGTCTCGAGCTCCTGACCTCGTGATCCACCCACCTCGGCGTCTCAAAGTGCTGGGATTACAAGCGTGAGCCACCGCGCCCGGCCCATTAAGTTGATTTTTTAAAGTCAACATTAGTTTATCTTAGAGTTGCCTATTAAAATAATTAGAGGATCACTATTCATCACACTAAAAACAGTGTATTTTAGAGTTGGAATATATGTGTGGAAACTAAACACTGGCTACAAGGATGAAAAGATTAGAGAAGAAAGACTTCATGAAGTATCAGTGCCTCATTTATAGCAATGCTATGTGCATAAATGAGCCTCTTAAAAATGATCCACAAAGTAAATGATATTTCAATAGTAAATATCACAAAGACGAAAGGAAACTTAAATCTAATTCAGAATTATTCCATAAAGGTCAATGGAAAGTGGATAGGTGGAAAAATAACATCAAATGATAGAAATTATCAATTAATGCCCTCATCAGGAAGGTTGATCAAAATCATTTCCCTACTGTATTTTTTTCTTAACCCAACTTTTCAGTTAAGAATTGCTGAGTAGTATTAAAGAGAGAAGTCTTTGCCTTCAGCAATTTTCTAAATTGAAAAAACTAAATCATTTTGTCTTAATTCACTGCTGCAAAGAAGAACTAGGACATAAAACCACCAACCAAACAACCAAGCAACAAAAACAAACACAACAAAAAGTTAAGATATTGCTATAATCCCTCTGGCATAGGTAAAATCTCTCTCCTCACATGGCTACTGTCCTCTTTTAATCAGAAGGATAGAAGTCTTACTAAAAACTACCTCTATGTGGTTTTATTATTAAACATATTTCTGAGTCAAGCCCTTGCAGCAACAGTAAAAGCTAGAGAAAATATGCAATTTAAACAACAACTTCATATGTATTGTAGTGGACCATTGACATTATGAACCTATGTAAAAACTCCTGAACCAAAAGAATTTACCATGGTATAATGGAATTTTGCATTTCCCTTTGGTTGTTTTATACTCTGAATTAAGTATAAATAATTGATGACTTTACTGTATCTAGTTAAGGAATTCCAGAGAGCATATTGGTCTCTATAATTTTTGGTATGTTTCAGTAACTGGCCTCATGACATGTCATAGAAGTTACTATTGCCCCTCCACACTACAAAGTTCCTTGTATAATAAGGAGTGATTATAAGTTGATATGGCTTAACATTTCGATGGTTTGTACACTTCTGAATGGCCTGACAAGAAGTATGGTGGGGGTTACTTTGCATAAGAACAGTGAAGAGCTCATCTGCAGAGACAATAGTGTTTGAACACAGGGAATTAATATGAGGAAAATATCTCAAAGGTAAAAAGAATGTCGATCTAGTATATAATGAAATAAAAATTTAGAAGGAAGTAGAATTGTTTCTTTTTAAAATATTACTAGAACATAACAGTAGAGTTTAAATGTGTCAGGGGTAAAGCACAGCAAAAAAGGGATCTTCCCAAACATTAGCATCTTTAAGAAGGCCAACCAGAGAAACCACTCTTTTAACTCACAATAACACTGGTGTCTTGACATCAGAGAGCTCAATAATAAATTACCATAAAGACCAAATTTGAGAAGTAATTTGTAAGAAGTGAAAGATAACAGTATTATGCCAGTTCATTTGAGAAATACATAGGGCCTTATGAATAACACACAAATACCCGTGGGAAGAGAGCCTAGGGTCTTAATGACAACAAATCCATTATATGAAATTAAAATGAAAATGCTATTTTGCCATTAAAATGCTAAAATACAGTCTTAAACATATAAGAAATGGGTATTCCTACATAGTGTTGACAGGAATATAAATTTTATAACTTTGTAGAAAGTTATTACCCTGTTTGTATAAAAATGTTGGAAATATTCTTGTAGTAATTCCACTGAAGGAAGTATATTCTAAGGGAACAGTCACACAACAACAAAGATCTCTGTACAAAGACATTTACAAAAGCATTAATAGAGAAAACACTTTTTAAAAATTACTCTATATAAGGATATTGGTTAATTTTGGTTGGTGTATTTTTATAATATACACAGCCATTATGAATTAGGTTTATTTTCAGTAGTAGTTATTGATGTGGAAAGTATACAATATTAAATAGGAAAAGCAAATTTCTTGGATATGGAGCAATGATAATGATCCCTTTTGGGAAGAAAATGAATCAAGGTTCTTACTCCTTACCTTGTGAATGTTGGTGTTGTTGAATATTTGACATTCATTATAGAATCCCAAGGGAAGACATTTGGCTGGCTAGGATATCAAGGCTCTCTTGAGAAGGAAATTATTAGAATGGAATGCACTGTGAATTGATTCCTCCGGTCTTCATTGTCACAGAAGATGGCTTGTTCTTGAAAAAGCAAGTCCTAGCCTAGAATATTTCTAAAAACAACACTCCAAGACTACAAAGGCATGTTTGAAAAATGTGTGTGTGTGTGTGTGTGTGTGTGTGTGTGTGTATTAAGGTACATTCAAATCCTATTACTTTGCAAAAAATTTGGTGGGATCAGATATCCTGGTTTAAGATAACACTGGGGAGAAATGAACTGTTTTGGTCTAAGAAACTAATGCTGATACTCTAGCAGCAAAGCCCGTTGATCATACCAACAGGTGAAAGGGAAAATCTTATAACAATAATCTTTTTGCAATAATAACACTTTGAACTAGAAAAAGCAGTAATGGAAGCAGAGAATGAAGCCTGATTGTTCTCTGATCATATTTTCAAGATTTATCAGCTGGACCTAATAAAGCCACTAACTCTTCGGATTCATGTTTTGTTTGTTTGCATTTTAACTTGTCAATGGAGGAGACATCTTACAAGACAGATTCTTCACAATAGGTAAAACAGGAGAATAGAGATATGGTATTAAACAAAGATGTGACTATATTTTTAAACATGCGTTATATGTGCCTCAACACTTACACAGACAGACAACGGCATATTTGCATTACAGAACTTCGTATTGACTCTCTGGAGAATGACTGTTGTGAGATAAGACCAAACACAGGAGACTGGCTTAGGAGGCTTCCACAGTAGTTATATCTAGTAGTAGAGAGCAAAGACCTGACCTTGAGAAGATAAAATAGAGATCAAAATTAGGGTACTTTAGGAATAGATTATTCATTACATATAGATTAAAGATGGGCCGGGCACGGTAACTCACATCTGTAATCCCAGCACTTTGGGAGGCCGAGGTGGGCGGATCACCTGAGGTCAGGAGTTTGAGACCAGCCTGGCCAACATGGTGAAACTCTGTCTCTACTAAAAATACAAAAATTAGCTGGGCTTGGTGGCAGGTGCCTGTAATCCCAGCTACTCAGGAGGCTGAGGCAGGAGAATCGCTTGAAACCAGGAGGCAGAGGTTGCAGTTAGCCAGCCACTGCGCTCCAGCCTGGGGGACAAGAGCGAGACTTCATCTCAAAAAAAACCAAAAATTACATAAAAATAAATAAATAAAGATAATTAAACATATAACTCAGCTTTCTAGGTTTGAAAAATAGATGATAATAGCACAAACTCAGAAAATACAGTATTGTTTAAGCATAGACACAATTGACTCTGTTTTTGGTATATTCAATGTGATGTACCTGTAGGGCATGTGGGTGGAGATGTCAAAGAAAGTAAATTCATGATTATCTCAGCTTCACGTTTTGTCCTAAAGTTCTGATCTTGATTAAGAAAATCTCAACCTCAAGTTATGTTTGTAAGTTCTGCTCTTGAACTAACAGTTTTGGGATTTCATGTATACAAAGTCATAGCTACCAGGAGAGTAAATGAATTTGTGAAGTGTCAAGAGTGTTGGGTCTGAGGAATATTGTAAAATGCAGAATGTGGAAAACGAGATAAATGTGCTCATAAAAAAAAGTAAAAGTAAGAATTATGAAACTCAGAAATAAATGGAATAGTGTTTCAATAACATCAAATGAAGTGATGTCCATTAGGTTTGGGAATTAGGAACTGCCTAATAACCTTCATAACGATAGTGCTTTTAGCTGAGTGAGCCAGGGAGCAGAAGCCAGGTTGCAGTGGGTTGAATGGTGAATGTGAGGTTTGAAAGTGGACAAAGAGAGACAAAGCTAGTCTTTGAGAATTTTGGAGAAGAAATGGAAAAAAGTAACTTTAAAGTAGCTAAAAGAAAAAAAGGTCTGTGCTAGCATATCAAAGTCATTTTTATCTTCTGCCTAAAGATTCTCCTTTAAAGTATATTTAATAGTCTGGATGTTGGTAAAAGTTGAAACATGGCTAGAATTACACTTTGTGTTTAAAAATCAGTGTTTGATAGGATTCTTTTAATCCTGTGATTCTTACTTATGGTTAAAATATACGTATTTCTTATGTTACATATATTCAATTGCATCAGAAACATAGCAACTTAAAGGGTTTTGGAGGATGTATGGGCAGCAAATGGATTTCTCAATATCTGAATCATTCCTTTAATATCTGATTTTACATAAAGTTTCTTTCAGTCAGAATTGATATTGACAATATTTGACCCCAAGTCAGCATTGGTATTGACTGTCAGAAACAGGCACTAACCCATGGGCACATGGAAAGGGCACATGGAAATGATACATGGGAAGTGACCAATTCTGACTGGACAACAGACAAAAACAACCAGCTCAGTCCATAATGTCTCAAAAGGGGACTGCTATAAGGAGGGAGGGGAACATTTGTTTTAGATAATTTAAAAACATATTAAAGTGGAATAAAAGTGAGTATATGTTTTATTAACACCATGTGCCAACAATTCTAAACAATGTCTGTGATAAAATACTCCTTTTCTTTCTGGCTGGACTGCTTCAAATCCACCATTTAGCCACTGTACAGGCATGTTTTGAGTAATCATCCCTGTTAACTGATAAATGCAAAGTGTTTTAAAGCACCCACTAGGTTTCTGCCCTCTCCCTGGCTGTATTTGTGTCTGAAAGATTACATGTGTCCATATATACTAAAAAGAATGTAATTATAGTACATCATTGGCCCATTTCAGGTTACCTGAAATTAAGGAAAAGGGTAGTGGATAATTCTTGCATGTATACTTGGTTAAAATACCCGAAACTTTACATATCTTTATTCTAACGATGCCTATTTTAGACACTCAGTATATCAAAATTGAGAAAACTGAGTGACCTGCCAGAAGATATACAACCACTAACTGGCAAAGTTAATACTTGACTCCAAAATTTGTTTCCTTTCTCCTGTAGCAAGTTCTTAAAATTTTATGCCCAAGTTTTCCTAATTGCAAAAATTTTCAAGCTGCCAATTTAACACATGGGGATAATGTAAATTACTTTTTTTTCCCTTATGGAACAAATATGAAGAGAAATAGAATATCACAAATATAGTAAGATTAAATTAAACAAATCATGCTGCATGGAATGAGTTTACATGAACACATTTAGTTTCCAGTGATCACTTTTAGTTAGAAACTTTGCTTGGAGGTGAGGGAACTGAGGCTGTAAGACATGGGCTTCGTATGATCAGTCAGCTCTCTCTTGTAACACTTGAGCTCTTTCGCAGCATCATATTGCCACTCTGAATAAGATGGGAGAAAAAAATTTTCAAAACCAAAAAATAAGAGGGAAAAGGTATGAATAGCACTCATGTCAAGGGGAAATACCAATTGCATTAAATTTGTCATGCAATTTCTTCTAAATAACAGTACACTTCACAAACGACATTCTAAGTGATGTCCTAAAAACTATAATGGCTGCAAAAGTCTTTACAGTGTACAGCATCCGAGTACAACATTTTAAACCAATTATTTCATTAACTGCATTGCTATTATATGTAGGACAGATTTTCTTAGGTGAGTGAATAGAGATGCAGATCAGTTTGGGAAATAATAGAGGCAAGGTATTAATAAGACCTTTATGTACCAGTAGTTCTGAAAGTGTTAGCAAACTAAAAGGCAAATTAGAAACTGAAGGTGATGTCAGATTACCATATGAATTAAAAAGAAAGAATCTAGAAGCTTTTAATATTACCATATTACCTGTCAAGGCCAAATGGGAAGCTAAGATTCAGTTTATTTTCATATAAATTTTAAAACGTTAAATAATATTCTGACCTTTCCAGTTTTACTGTATGGAGATTACAGAGGGTGTAGTTGTAAGGTGTAATTTACATGGTCTTGTCTATTTATACTTAAATGGTACATGCAAGATAATTTTTACAGGCACTAATGCACACAGAAAAGGTTTCCAGGCAATTTTCAATGCTTGCTATAAAGCATAAATACTTAATAAAGAATTATTTTCCTTCAGATTAATGTTCCTTCTAAACAGAGATAATTTTTCTTGCAATATATATGTACTTGGGTTTAACATGTTAAGGAAAATGAGATCAACATTAATTTGTTTTTTTTTTTGACAAATTGAGCAGCTATTATATAAAGTATTAATTCTGATAAAGCCAGTGACTGCCAGTGACCAAAAGGAGAACCCATGTTGTTATAAAAAAATAATTAGTTTTTATCATTTGAGAAATGCTCTGTTTATAAGAATTGATAGATGGTTTATTATATAGTAAGTAAAATGGATAAGATCATTTAAAGTAACAAGTGTATTGAAGAACAGGGAGATAAAAAATTTCAAAGTGGAGAATTCATTTTCTAATGTTGATAATAGACACACTATTATCATTCATTTTCACAAAACTCAACTGATACAGTTCAAATTTAAGAATTGCTCTATTTATTAAAAATATTATCTGTAAATGAATTCTGTTTTTCTTTGAACATATTCAATGACATCACAATAAAGGAAAGAAGAGATGACATATATTTTCAATGTGTGAATAATGTTTATGTTATACACTTACACATGCACAGAGACACACTCGTTCATGCATACCTATATATACACCACACCACAGAGCACACAGGTTATAAATATACACTATAACAGAGAATTTTCAGATTACAGGTGAAATTATGTTACTATATTTGTATGTTTTCTATAAAACTAATATAATAATTTATTATTTGGAAAATACTATTCATAAGTTACTCAATCAGAAAAGCTTCCATTTAGAGCCAAGAAAAAATATGTTTGTGTTGGAATTAACTTGCAAGTTCAACATGTGGGGGTTGAAATCTCAATTTCTTCACATTCTTAGCTATGTGACAATGAACAAATTTAACAACAATATATCCTCTGCTCGTTCTTGAGAAAACTATGAATAATATTTGAAATATTCAAATATTAAAAATAACATGTAAACTTCACAACATAAATTCTAATATATGGTAAGTACTTCAAGTGATTTTTTAATTTTATCTTATTATTTTGAGTTACATTTGATAATTACTTACATTCTGCTTTTCTCTTTAATCAACTGTTTTCAATATGAAGAGCTATTATTTCACAAATACTGACCTTTACTAAATGTTTTGGAAAAATCATTCTTCTATACTTTCATAAATTATTCTTTCGGTTTATTAAATCATGGCTCACAATGAGTATTTTAGGATGTGACTCTTTGGGAAGAAATATTTTAGAAAACGTTTATAAAATTTTTTAAGGGAGAAATTTTCTGCCCAAACTGGGTTAAAATCTCAGATCAAAATCCAAAAAAAAAAGAAATCCAAATCATACATTTTTATCCCCCTATTCTTTTGTAATACCAATTAGGTAATAAGCATTTTGACAAAAGCCTATGTAAACCATCTGATCTTTAAAATTTTGTTGAATCATATTCCTTACTCTGCCATTTTTAAATTACAATTAACAGCAACATCTTTTGAAGTTTTCAAGTGAATAGAGTTTATAAAGCTCTCACAATTCAGTTTTTAATACATTCAAGCATCTTACATAGTATCAAATATTCTGAATTTTTATTTTAAAAAATACCTTAGCTATAAAGTAAGTTGAAATATATTTTCTTCTGAAAATAATTTACCTTATAATAATATAGGTAATAGTAAGGTTACGTGGACTGAGAACCAAAACAAGACAAGAATTCAAAAGATGTAATAGTGCCAATTCATAGAAAAATGTGCAATAAGTGAAAACATCATAGGTCATAATATACTTTTTAAAAGCACTGAACTATATAATCCTACTATTATTTGGATAGTTATATTTGTTTATGCTCAGAGCATGATTAAAGAGTCCATGTTTACCACAAATACCCAGGCATTTTCCAGTTACTAAAATTACTAGCAATGAACATTCTGAAAAAATATTCTCATCTAACTTCTCCAAGCAGCCTTTAAATCCTCTGGCAATGAGGATCTATTATCAGCCACAGCATCAATTTTTATACATCCTCTAGCCATTTCTTAGGATTAGCCCAAGAACCATTTTCAGATGACCCTCCTGAACTTCCAGATCATGACATTAAAAAACAGTGACAGTTAGCCCGAGGGTTGTAGCTACAGTTTCCTTCCTTCTCTGAATGTTAAAGCTGTGAAGTCAGCTCCAGGGAAGGGACACATAACTTACACATAACTGCCATATTTCTGCTGTCTAAAATTATTTCTGGTAAGAAATGATCCTTCTAGATCAACAGTCAATTTTTTCCTATTTAGGAAGACTCTCCAAAGCAGGTGGAATATGTAATAAGGGTTATTTGCCTCAAAATATAGAAAAAATGTGCTGCCTTTAAAACAACATTTTTAGTTAGGAGATGACAAACAGAAGTAGGAAGAGAATAAACATATTAAGGCTCAGTAGCAGAGGGAGATATATATTTTATTAAAATCACCTGTGTATAAAGATCGTTTCTATCCTAACTGCCTTCTGCTTCCAACAAAAGAATCACTTTTTATCAATGTCCCCCAGTCATTATTTTGCGTATACAAAATAAAGCAAACAAAACAAGCAAAACACACACACACACACACACACACACACACACGAACACTAAAATAATATGAAAACATATGAGAGTGTCCATCCTAATTTTAGGGAATGTAGTTATATTCAGGAGATAGAGCCAGTATCTTACTTGTCTTGCTGGAAATACATATAGATATCATCTAAAGAGAAATATATATTTGTCAGAATTAGGAAAATTATTTTGCACTTTACAGCCATGTTAAAATAATTGATTTGTATCGAATCATACATATAATGACACTACTTTAGGTTTTTACAAATAGTTTTGCATTGTGGGTGAGGATTATAATATGGTAGGATTTGTTATATTGTTCATACTAGTTTATACCTATGTTCAAGAATAAAAATTGTAACAAGAGAATGCAATTTTATTTACAGCATATATGTCCTTGGGCATTGCAAGTTTATATTAAACCACTACATACAATTGTTTATAGTGAAATAGTTGCCAATAACTAGATTTTAAAATATAGAAGCAATGATACAAAGTGTATGCTGAGAAATCACAAGATGGACACTTTCCAAACTCATGAAGAGGTTCCAAAGAGATGCTATCAGTGTTAAGCCTCAGAGCTGTTTGATGAAGCAAACACATATTTTATCTTATTTTAAAACTTCAGGCCAGGCGTGGTGGCTCATTCCTGTAATCCCAGCACTTTGGGAGGCCAAGCTGGGTGGATTACCTGAGGTCAGGAGTTTGAGACCAGCCTGGCCAATATGGTGAAACCCCGTCTCTACTAAAAATACAAAAATTAGCCAGGTGTGGTGGTGCATGCCTGTAATCCCAGTTGCTCAGGAGGCTGAGGCAGGAGAATCACTTGAACCCAGGAGGTGGAGGTTGCAGGAAGGGAGATCATGCCACTGCACTCCAGCTTGAGCGACAGAGTGAGACTCCATCTCTAAAACAAAACAAAACAAAAACTTCATACATGACATTGTTATATAAATGTGTTAGAGTAGATTAAAATGTGTTAGAGCAGTATGTATAATTATTTGTTGGCACGACTGAAACTCACTCCTACACTAGCATTAATCATTAATACATTCTCCTCCTCTCTATATTGCCTAGGGTAGATGCAGACTGCGGGAGAATCTCACACAAATAGCCTGCAGACTGTTAAAGATGATAATTCATTTTCACTAACCTCCACTTGGTCCTCAGTAATCATCCCTTAGTATCCTGTTGCATTAATCTAATCAGCTTTCTTGAGTAATATCTGCAATGACTTTTTCAAATTTTATCCATTTTGAACACTTGGCATTTCATATTTCACTGAGAAGGTAAAAGACATAAAGCAAAAATTATTTCCAATTTCTGGCACACATTATCCAAATCTATCTCTGCAGTACCCATCATCTTTAATTTCGTATACATTTTAGTCAAGATTGTGTTCCTCCTCTTATCAAGGCAATCTTTTCCTTTGTGAGCTGAATCCCATCTTTTCCCCTTTCACTTCCCCCAGTTTCTCTAGCCTTGATTAGCCCATATTTCTATGACATTATCTCTGCCTTTAAATTTTATTCTTTTCATCTTCATTCATATATGATAAAGTGACTTCTAAAAATTAATACTCCCACCTAAAATTGAGATTTCACCATCCAACAGCCATTTTAACTCTTTAATTCACCTCATTTCCACGTGTGATATACGCAGACTCTTTTGCCTGTTTCCACTTCCCCATCTCTCATCAACACTCTCAATCCACTCTAGTCTGGAATGTACAGCTCCCCACTGCTGAAATATCTTCAGGTCAGTTTAACAAGACGTTCCACCCAGTGAAAAAGATTTAGTGTTCACGGTATTAAATTTAGTATCCAAGATTAGCAATAACTCATTAGAATAGATCTTTGTTAGTCTTCCTTATTTCTAATCGAGAAACGCTTTAAATAAAAACTATATAATATGATGAACATCCAGAATACAAAACAGGCTGGGCGTGGTGGTTCAACCCTGTAATCCCAGCACTTTGCGAGACTGAGGCGGGTGGATCACTTGAGCTCAGCAATTCGAGAACAGCCTGGGCAACATGGCGAAACCCTGTCTCTACCAAAAATACACAAAATTAGCTGGGCATGGTGGCATGCACCCAAGATCCCAGCTACTCAGGAAGCAGAGGTGGGAGGATTGCTTGAACCCAGGAGGCATAGGTTGCAATGAGCTGAGATCGCGCCACTGCACTCCAGCCTAGGTGACAGAGTGAAACCCCCCCTCCAAAAAAAAAAAAAACAAACAAACAAAAAACATAAAAACAAACAAAACAAAACAAAACAGAAGCAGCTATCAAATGTTTTCAGTTAATTGCTTGATGTCTTTAGTCCCCCCAAAGTAGCAGAATATAACCTAATTTCCCTTGGCTCTAAATGGCTGCAAATGAATTTAAAAGTATAGCATGCATTTTTTTTCTAAAGGAAATGCTAATTTTTAGACTTATGTTTCTGATTAGGATTTGTAGTAAGAGAAATAAGAAGCCACGATCTCTTAAATGTAAAGAGAATTACCTAGAAATGGAGTTTTGCTTGCTAACTCATGGACTGAAGCCATCCCCTGTTTGAAGGCTGCAGGAAAGGATAGGGAAAATATAAAGGAGGTATTAGTTTTGAGGGTGGGAATGGAGTGAGGCTTTAGAACTGAGAGCCAGGAAGAAGGAAGTCTACATGTGAATGGGGGTACCAGCCAGGAGAGTCAGTTCTCCTGTGGAGAAAAGTTCCCAGGCATCACACAGGATCCTATAGCTTAAGCCTAGAAAATTTTCTTCAGTGCTTTGCAATGTCAAAGTCAAAGTAAACTAATCGCTAGTACTTCCTGTGTTTTAGCTTCATTTTGAGATTTCCCTGGCCTTTCAAAGCAAAACTTTGCATTCTGGAATACCTTTTTCATGAAGGCTATCTGAGATAGAGTGTGACAAGAAGAATGGAAGCCTGATGTATTCTAATCTCTTTCTGCTTTCACATAAGTCAGGACAATAGTTCCCTACAAGGAGTTTTGTGAGGAGTCCCTGGTGGGAGGAAGAAGCGGTGAAGAAAGTCCGATCTCTATAAACACAGGACAGAAAATAAAACCAAATTCTGTAAGTTAGCTGGGGTCATCCTATCAGAAGGAAAAAGTAAACAGAAAGATTTGAGTTACACATAATTTATACCTGTCTTCTTCGTGATTACCCATTAAAAATTTATTTCTGTATCTCTGGCACTTCTTCCCAGACGCCTCCTTTTTATTTGCGTTCATTAACCAAAACTTCAAATGTTATGAGTTTTTCAGTCTTTATCTGACATTTTTTGCTTTCACATTAGTTAATCACCAAGTCCTATGAATTATATTAGAAATATATTCTTAATACAAAATCTCTCTGTCTTCATGTCTGAACCCTAGTCTAAGCCACTCTGATTTTTTGTTTTGTCTTTTGCAATAGCTTTCATATTCACCCTTGGCTACTTCCAGATGATTCTCTACAAAGCATCCAGACATTCCTTTTACTACATGAGTTTGGTCTGTTGTTGTTGCCTAGCATTAAATACTTCTGTGGTTTCTTTGCTTTTAGATTAAATATCCTAAGTTCTTATGATGACAAAAAAAGTCATGTCTAAATTTCTGACCCCATCATACATCAACTCTACACTCCTCCTTTCTCATATGCTCTGAACACAACCACAATCTTCGAATTTTCTCATATGTGCTAAGCTCCCATAGATCTCACTTATTTCCTTTTTTTCTTTTTATATCTTTGCCACACAAGAAGCCTTAGCCCTTAACAATCACTTTCTTTCACCTTGGATAATTACTATATTCTTTGTAATTGATCCTAATGTCAGATGTTTGTGGATACCACCTTCTTTGAACTCCAAACCTAAATTATATCTTTTTGGTGTGTGTGTGTGTGTATTAAAGTATACTCATTTTCATGGATTTTTCCATATAAGTATGTGTACAATTATTTTATTATTATTTTTAATGTCTATCTTCCCTTATGGGACTAAAACATCATTTTGGAAAAGGACTATGTCCATCTGAATTCAATTTTGTGTCTTCAAGCACCTACATTACAGCATTCTATTCTCTCTTTTTCTCTCTTTACTACCCTTTTTTCCCTCCTCCCAAGATGTTTTTCTTTCCTCCCCAACAATATCCTTTAGATATAAATAAATACATGTTACAAAATGAGAGTTGAGGTAGGTAATGAATTAGAGTCTGAGAATAAATACAATCAATATAAAAACAGTGGGAATGTACAAATGAGCCATGAGAAGAAAGGGTGTGATTAAAGTAAAAGAGAAATACAGGTGTAGAAGAGAGAGGTTAGAGAAAAATGTCATTTAAAAACCACCAATTATTTTAGGGAAATTAAAATTTTGAAAAAAAAAGTCATAGGCCAAATCTTCCTCTTCATTTCCATACATTATACAAAAAAGATAATTATTGAAATATTACTTACAATTCCACTACTCAAACACAACAGTTGCTTTCAGATCTTCATTATATTCATTCCCACAGGCATAGAGCATCTAATAATCATTTTAGTAGGGGAATACTACTACTCATTAATTAATGGGCTACAATTTACTAACTGTTCTAACTACATTTCTTTTAATTTCCCCTCTTCAAAATAAGATTGCAGTAATGTATAGCTTAATGAACATATATTTTTTAAGTGTTTAATAGTTTTTAGCTTAATATTCAAATAAATATATGATTGAATTTAAAGGTATAAACATTATCATGGATCTAAATATACACCTCTAAAATGTTAACCTTTTAAAAACCATTTTAAAAATTAGTAATACACATGCAAGATATGTGGCACAAGAGTATATCAAACTTCATAAAGTACATCTTTCCTTTCTTCCTTCCTTCCTTCTTTCCTTCCATTCATTTTCCCTCCCTCCTCACAACTATTTCTTTTTTTTTCTTTTGTTACCTGCTATCATTGTTGACAGTCTGCAGAGGAATCCTAGCCTATTTGAAATTAGTTGTCCAAAAGGCAAAATTGCTGTTTGAGAAGATAACATTCAAAATGACTCCCATGAATCAGATAGTCTATTGTGAGGCAGGCTGAATTATGCATTGAGTTAACACACATTGAATATTATCATTTCGACAATATTTTTTGTCCAGAACTTTCTCCTCTTTCTTGCTTATTTTACCCCATCTTTACTCCTAGTCTCATTTCTTTTTCTTACCTCATTGTATGTGTGTGTGTGTTTTTCCCCCGATTATCCTCCTAAAGAGAGACCTAAAACACAGATAATATATTTTAATTGTCTTGTTGATGTTTAATTATAAGGAAGAGCTTCATCAGTATAGCAAACTCATTCTGTATTTTAGAATAGATTAATTTTTAGCAGAAATATTCTTAAGAAAGACCTTGTATTGTTAGTGCTTTAATTTTCTTTCAACCTAATATTCTTCCCTTATTTGTTATGTAATGGAGCTTCTAAAATACTGGCAATATCTGCTCATTTTGCCTTCAGCTAGCATGAGTTTTTTTTTTCTTAAGAAAGTGCAGTTGCTAAGAAGAGTTAATGGACAATTCAGCAGCAATTTTGTTTCAGCAAAAGTAAAGATAAAAGGAATACATGAAGAATACAAACCGTAGAAAATAACAGGGAAGTGGTTACAATATATATTGAAATGCTCAGAATCTAAAACAGAGACAATGTAGACTTAGAGAGACACGCAGTCCCAACTTAAGTATGTATTTTAAAAAAAATTTCTAGAGTATTTCCTAGGTACTTACAGAGACTGCAGTTGCATTTTAACTGATCAGCTGAAAAACTAAAAATTCTGAGATTATGAGAATCAGAAAAAAATTTTTTTAACCTTTCAGCATTATTCTTACTCTGCTAAATTAAACAATGTGGATAATTTGAGAATATTGTAGATAAATAAATAAATACATGTAGAGATAGTGAAAAAGATCATGCTGCTTATGTGGAATTTTCTACATAATACAAAGCATCATGAATATTGATTGCAGGCTGATATGGTTTGGATTTGTGTCTCCACTCAAATCTCATGTCGAATTACATTTCCAATGTTGGAGAAGGGGCCCGATGGGAGGTGATTGGATCATGGTGGCAGATTTCTCCACTTGCTATTCTCCTGATAGTGAGTTCTCATGAGATTTTTTTTTTTTTTTTTTTTTTGAGATGGAGCCTCACTCTGTCGTCCAGGCTGGAGTACAGTGGCACAATCTTGGCTCACTGCACCTCTGCCTCCCGGGTTCAAGCGATTCTTCTGCCTCAGCCTCCCAAGTAGCTGGGACTACAGCGCCTGCCACCACTCCCAGCTAATTTTTGTATTTTTAGTGGAGATGAGTTTCACCATGTTGGTCAGGCTGATCTTGAACTCCTGACCTCGTGATCCACCTGCCTCAACCTCCCAAAGTGTTGGGATTACAGGCATGGCCACTGTGCCCAGCCATTTTTTTTTTTTTTAAAGTTTGTAGCATGTCTCACTTCTCTCTTCCTTCTGCTCTGGCCATGTAAGACATGTAAGACATGCCTGATTCCCCTTTGCCTCCTGCCATGATTGTAAAATTTCCTGAGTCCTCCCCAGCCATGCTTCCAGTAGACCCTGCGGAACCATGAACAAATTTAACCTCTTTTCTTTATAAATTACACAGTTTCAGGTATTTCTTTATCGTAGTGCATGAAGATACTAATTCACAGGCTCAGTATATATGTCAGAAAAGAAATCTATAAACCATAGACCTAGATACATCTTTTCATGATCCCTCCACTCTAACCCTAAACCACACCCCCACTCACTCAATTCTCAATTTGATCCCTGTTCCTTTCTATGCCTTGGTTCCCACTGCAGCATTTATTATGTAAAATGTATGTAACAGATTGTCAAGTACAACCAGAGAAGCAGGGCAGTAGGAGATGTACATGAAGACAGTTGTTTCAAGGAAATCTCTTACTTGCTTCTGGGGGATGGTAAAGCAAGTCCGAAATTCATAGGACTTGCCATAGAAAGGGCAGTTTGGAACTCTTGGTCAGGAGCTGAAGCTGATGTCCACAGTTGGAATTTTTTCTCCAGGAAAACTTCACTTTTGCTTTTAAGTCCTTTCAACTGATGGGAAGAGACTCATGCAGATTCATTCGGATAATCTCACTTACTTAAATTCAACTGACTGTGGGGTTTAACCACATCTACAAAATGCCTTTACTACAACACCTAGATTAATGTCTGTTCGAATACTTAGGTCAATAGCTTAGTGAGTTGAAATGTAAAACTGACCATTAGAGTCCCCACCTTGTCAACTTGGCACCCATACACATCTTCTTAAACCAAACTCTGTTTCTAACTTAGCATAACAAAGTCATACCTTAACAAAACATGATACAACTATCTTGCACAAATTTGAAAACAGGCTTACCCTTTCAGCAGGAGAGGATGCAAAGCCTTGAGGTGAGGTTGACACTTCTCCTTTAATATCCTTTAGATTAATATTTTGATAAAAGGTTAAGTATTAATAATACATCTTACTTTAGGTAAGGGTTAAAGGGATCAAAGAACACAAAATCTGATATGTGTGTGGTTGTGTATATATATTCCATATCCATATATATATAAACATATTCATAGCAAAATAAGAAACAAATACGCATAATAATGTCAATAATTATTACATTCCTAGTTCTGGAAGTGGTCACATGATCATAATTGGTATTTATAGTTAGCTACTTTCTTACAAATTCCATATGTCCTTTGCCCTCAAGAAGCACCTGGGCTAGGCATGGTGTTCCATGCCTGTAATTCCAGCACTTTGGGAGACTTAGGCAGGAGGATCACTTGAGGCCAGGAGTTTGGGACCAGCCTAGTAAACATTGCAAGGCCCCCATCTCTACTAAAAAAGTTACAAATTTGCCCAGCAATGTGGCATGCACCTGTAGTCGCAGCTACTCAGGAGGCGGAGGGAGGAGAATCACTTGAGCCCAGGATTCGGAGGCTGTAGGGACCTCTGATCATGCCACCACACTCCAGCCTGGGTGACAGAATAGACCTTGTCTCTCAAAAAAACAAACAAACAAAAAACACACCTCAGCACCTCACTGGTCATTGTTCTCATTCCTCAAGGGCTTGGCCCATTAGCAGTCCTGCCTGAATTAAGTGGTTGTAGTTTTCCATTGACTTTAATCACAGGACATTATAGTACTAAGTGATACCCTAAGGAATGCTGTGTTCCCAACATGGTCTTTCTCACTCTTGTCATGTTGTGGCCACCCAATTCTCCCTTGGTAATCAAGATCAGTTGCCCCAAAGAGTATAGTAACTCTTTTGCCTGTAGATTCAGAGGCCTGTGGAGTCCAGAGTGGCCAGTGGAATTGTCCAGTGTAGTTCAATTATTGTTGCATCTCCCTGTAGATGCATTCCTATCTATCTTTGTAACAGCCTGTAGCAACCTGTAGACCAGTACAGCCTAAACAAATAGGAACGGGAACTACATTTGTTTTTCTAGTGGATTACTTGGTGAAATAGTGATCAGGATCACTCCTGTTTCCATCCCCTTGATTCTTGGACCAATGAATCCTGGCTATGGAAGAAATAATATAGTGGATGTTAATTTAGATGATATACAGTCTTCTGGAAGACATTGCTCTAGTCCTGCAAGGTATTGTCACCTATATGGCACTACAACTAAGTTTCCAGAAGTCCATGCTATTGTTCATTTCAGGATGATGGGAAATATGCCATCAATACCAGTAATTCGATGAGCATGGGCCCATTGCTGTTAAGTGAATTCTTTGATGAGAAGCAATGTTGTGTGGAGTACAGTAAGTCCTCACTGAATATTGTTGATAGGTTCTTTGAAACTGTGACTTTAAGTGAAAAAGTGCATAGCAAAATTAATTTCTTCCTCATCAACATTGTAGTGAAATGACATTGAAGTGAACAGTGTTATTTGAGGATCTGTTGTAAGTTATTTCACTTAAATTTGCAGTTTCCAGGAACCTATGGAGGAAATTCCATAAGTTCATGGGTGGTAGTTTGGCAGAAGTACTGAGTTCAGGAAAGGCACATCCAGATCCGGGGCAAAAACTATCTATTCTTAATGAAGGTTGTCCAATGTAATAAATCTGCCATTAGGTAGCTGGCTGACCATTTTCGGGATCTAGTTTTATTCTAGGAGACCTAGATTTAATCTCTTCTAAAAGAGTGGACAATGAGCAATAGCTGTAGTCAGGTTAGTATTCATAATGGAAGCCCACGTTGGTAAGCATGTGTATACACTCCATCTTTGATATCATGGTCAATTTGTTCATTAGGCCATTGGTCAATGACAAGAGTGGCTAGGAAAAGAAGCTGCTTATATTCATAGAATGGGTAATTGTATCTACTTGCTTATTAAAATATTCCTTTGCTGAGGTCATCATTTCATAAGTATTCATATGGGACACAAATATCTTCTCATTCTTTGCCTATTCTTAGAGGAATAGCCACTTCCTTCTTCCTAAGACTTCCTTGTCACTAATTTTTCAATTATTTTCCTTCCAAGTCGTGATCATATGGCCAAACCATTAGCCATGCCCGTGGATTGCTATTAATGTGCCTCTGATCATTTCTCTTTCCAGGCAAAATGAACAAATAGGTGTGTTTCTCAAAACTCTGCCAACTGATAATAATTTATTTCACTATTGTCTTTCTAGAATGTCTCAGAATGAGGCTATAGTACTACAGCTGTCCACTGTCAGGTATCCTGGATATCATGTAGAACTATCTCTAAAGCAGGCCCAAGTTATCTCTTCCTCAGTCAAGTGTTCATACAGTTGTCTGAGGAGTCATTAGTGTGGGCTTCAAAGAGTAAAAGTAACATAGGCAAAGAAGGGCCCAAGGCCTTTTGGGCCACTTCATGCAATTTACTTGAGCCTTCAGGACCTGCTGAAGCCTGATATCACATGTATCACTTCCATTGATGATGGAGTACTGCCTTGCATGTCCACATTTATAGTTTAAAGGGTCAGACAACACTCAGTTTATAATTGTCGAGTCCAAGAGACACCTCCATCCCTGCCACCATGTTAATTATGTTTATGAGATTATCCAACATGGACAAGAATAGTTGGGGAAAGACACTGAATGATATCTACAAAATTGGTAATCCTATCCACTTTGTTAGTAAAATCTTCTGCTGAGGTCACCATTTTGTGAGCATTCACATGAGGATCAGGTCATCTAGCACTTTAGTGGTCCATCAGTAAGCATTCAGTGTGTCTACTAAGTCCTAATAGTAAATCAAAAACTGTTTGTCAAATGGAGGGTAGTTTTCTGTAGAGGATGGAGGACTTTGCTCCAACAACTGAAGAGTGACACTATAATTAGCTTACAGAGGCTGGTGAAAGGCATCAAACTTCCAGTCTTATTTGGACTAAATGGCCCAAGTGACTGAGCAGCTTGAATAGCATTCCAGACCTGTTGCAGCGCTTTCTTTTATTCTAGGCCCTTCTCATAACTGTCACTTGGTAAATCAGTTATATTAGCATATCCAAATGAGGAAAATGTTGCCTTCTTTTTCCAAAGGGGTTCTTTAGGTGTTGCACTTCTTTGTTGTTGCAAAGACCAGCTGTAGCTACTTATCATGCATCTTAGAAGGGATATTTCAACATGCCCCATATTACTGGATCCCTGAAACTATAAGTAAGGTGGCAGGTCTCTGAATTTTGTTGGGTTTATTTTCTGCACTCTGACACACAGAAATCAGGTATAGTTTCTATACTTGATATTTAGTGTAACAATATAGTATCTAATTCCTGCTCCCCAACCCCAATCAGCATAATATCAATATAATTAATCAGCATTATATCTTGTGGAGAGGAACAGGCAATCAAACTACCTGTAGACTAAATTATGATTCAGGGATGGAAAGTTAACATCCAGCCAAGGTAGGATGGTGACGCTGTATTGCTAAGACCTACCAACAAAAAGCAGTACTTCCAGCAGCCCTTACTAATAGGTGGTTAGAAAAGGGCATTTGTCAGATGAATAGCTCAATATCAATTTTAACAAATGTGCTGATTTGGTCAAGCAGTGAAACCACATGTGGAAGAATAGATGCAATTGGGGTCACCATCTGATTAAATTTATGATAGTCTGCCATTCTCCAAGAATCATCTGTTTTTCTGCACAGGGCAAATCGGTCAGCTGAATGGGAATGCGGCGGGCATCATCACCCCTGCATTCTTTAAATCCTTGATAGTGGCACCAATCTCGGCAATCCCACACAGAATATAGTATTGCTTTTGGCTTACTATTTTCCTGGGTAGAGGCAGTTCTAGTATCTTCCACTTGGCCTTCCCACCAAAATAGCCATGACTTCATAGCTGGAGAACAAATGTGCAGATTCTGCCAGGCCTGAGTATGTCTATTTTGATTATGCATTCCAGAACTGAGGAAATAACCACAGAATGTGTTTGATAACCTACTGGACCAACTATGAGATGGATCTGGGCTAAAACTCTATGGATCATTTGACCTCTGCAAACACCTTCTCTGACTGGTAGACCACAATAATATTTTGTGTCTTTAGAAATGTTTTTCAGTTCAAAGACAGTACCCAGCAATCCACAAATAGTCTTATTATCCCCCTTTCCCCAGTGTAATACCCCTGGTAAATGGACATTAATCCTTTCTAAGAAAGATTTGGAGAAATAGTAACATTATACTTTAGCAATACAGCAATATAGAAGTATTCTTCCTCAAAAAGAGGTTGTAGTGCACAACCTCTTGGGTTATTCTTTGTAAGTCACCTTTTGTGGCCTTCTGGGACTTGATCCTAGTTTTAGTGTAGAAGCAAATTGGGGTGGTGGGGATATGTCCTGAGGAGAAACAGCAGTGGTTTGTCAATTATACAAAGCCCATCCAGATAATCTATGATAATATCCCTTAAAGTTAACTGGTTATGGACTTTAATCGTGTCTATGAAACATCTTCACAGCAACACATAAATTGATGTTTGATTGAATAACTGGAAACCATGGTGTCCAATGGTGCTTATGTTGACACAAAGTGATGATCATAGCCCCCTTCCTCTCCATGTATTCATACAGAGGCAGACACTTCACACAAATTTAGCCACTCAGAGTTCTGAGATCCAAGAGACTCTGTTTCTTTCTAATTCCTGAAGATACAACATACCCAGTTTGGGTGACACTGTGTTGTTCCCTGCTTTGTGGGCCAAAGAGCATAAAATGACAAAATGCAGAGTGAAAGAGGAGTCCCTAAGTGAGCAGAAATGAACAAATACATGAACCAGAAAGTGCTTACTGTGGCATAGTTGTTGCTAGTTTTTCCCAAGGTCCAAGATTATCCACATACTTGGATTCCTTGCCAAATCCCAGTATGTCTACAATAGGTTCCCCTTTTGTTTAAGCTGATATAAATTGGGTTTCATTCATTTGCAATAAAAATATCCTAATTTCATGAGATTTTCAAACTATTTGGGAGAAAAAAGTACTATGAAAAATGTAATGAATAAATTTTAAAAAGAAGACATTTTGACAAAAAAATAAATCAGGCAATGCAGTGCAGTCTAAAGCCCAAGCTCTGGATTCAGATATACCTGCTTCAATTCTTGCCAGCACTGTGAACTTCTATTTATTAATCAAAAATTTTAACTGAGCATCTAACACTCACTGTTCTTCGTATGGTGCATATTGAGTACACAATCCTTACTGATGTTGACCTTAAAATCTGACAAATATTACATACTTACTACCTCCAGGACCCTGTGTGGAAGCTAAGGCTTAGTGTTAAGTTTAAGCCTTAATCAAAACCATAGCTAGATAGTAGTTATGCCACTTCATCAGCATAGTACGAAGATGAAATAATATGTTGCACATAAAGCCTTTTGCAAGTTGTTTATCACAGTGAGTACTTATTAAATGTTAGCAATAAATGGACTCATTTCTAATATTAGAAAGTTATCTCCAATGTCACTTTCAGCTTAGATAATCAAGATACCAGATTCAGAATAAAAAGTTACATGATTATGGCAGGGAGTGGCAGATGCCTATACTATTTTTATTCTCCTTTTCTTTCTTAGTGAAATATTTATAATTTTATTCAAGATGGCAATATGTCCATTAAATAAATTATAGTTTTTAAGTTTCTCTTGCAGGTTGGTATGGCTGAATATTTAATTCTAGAGATGTAACTAAAAGTGATGCATGGTTCTGCTGGGAAACCTCACCAATGAAATCTGGGACAGGTTTTCCTTCACAGGCCTTGTTTTGCTTTCCCCTCTTTCCTCTATGTCCTATCTGGAAATTCTATACCACAGATGGTGCTGCCGCAACCATTTTGTAAGCTTGTGGGTAACAATGACACATTTTGGATGACAGACCACAAAGAAGACAAGAAGCTTTGTTCCTAGTTGATTGCACAGATCTACCAAGCCAACCGTTGATTGCACAGAGCTACCAAACCAACCGTCAACAGCTTACCTCTGGCATTCTCTTATATGAGGGAAGAAAGTATGCAATGTTTAATACTTTGTAGTTTAGTGACTATTACTATCAGAAAATATAATTTGTAACAGATATAATAATTATTAGCAAATAAATGAAAGTTAGTGTAAACAGAAAAAGATTTTGAAAGCCGTAATGAAATAGGAAATATTAAAATTATGAAAAGCTGTTGCTGTGCCTTCACTTCTCAATGCTTTCCTCTCTGTAAGTCTTGCTCCAAATTGAAACAGGAATTTGCATTAAAAAGATGATATCCACTAAAATGATATCATATATATTTTTAGGAACAAATATAAAGTGCTTGCTAAAGAACTGGAAGACACCAGCAAGACTAAAGAACACATGTCAATCAGAGATAAAGAGCTACTTGCATCTAAAGGTTAAAGCATTTAAACCCTGAGCTCTGGAAATACCCTGCCAGTACTCGTAGACTTCCCTGGCATTTATCTTGTCATTTAAAATCTTCACAGCATGCAATATATTGGGCTTAGTCTTCTTACTCTATAGGAGATTGGAAGGCATAGGGAAAAGACTAGAGAGGGAAAAAGGAGGAAAAAGAGCACTAGGCAGCAGGGAGACAAGCCCTCCATGGTGGCACACAATGAGAAGAGTTTTGGGGCACAGCTGTAGAAATATATACACACACATACACACACACATGTTTTCCCCTTTCTATGTGTCAATGTACTATGCTATAAAAATAGTTTGAGATAGAGCCAGCTATACTTTAAACAGATAATACACATTACCTGAATTTTTGTTAATAGAGAGTATCCTTTCCTTTTGTAGCTGTTTCTTTTCTAACATTAGCTGTGATAATTTAGTTCACCCCATCTCCCCATTGTCCAACTGCTGCTGCTTCATCTCTCCATTTCTCCTTCTTTTCTCCCCTCTCATTTTCTATCCTCCCCTTATTCCCTTCCTCACCATCCCTTCCCATGCACATCTGGTGGGTTAGTGTAAATTTGCAAATTCTTTCCAACTTCCAGTTCTTGACTATTTCTGCAAAATTTGCAAAAATTGACATCTTAAAAAATAGATGAATACGTAAAATTATATCAGCTAAACAACTTAATGCAGGTAAATTTTAAAATTTGGGTAAGGCATATCTCTGATTTTAAAATCAAAATTAAAGAATAAAAATATGTACACAAAGGGACACACATTATATATACCCAAACTTAATTGAAATTTTAAAGCTGTAACCTCTATTTTTTCCACACATCTTAGTTTTTTTTGTTTTTTTTGTTTGTTTTTTTTTACTGTTTCAACTTTGTCACTGATGACATGTCTCTGGGATCGATGGCTTTCTGTCTCTCTACTATTGCTTCATTGACCTACCTTCTCCGTGAACTTTTCCCTGAGAATTCAACAACAAAATGTCTTCTCCTTTTCTGAAGGTTAATACCAGTTACAGTCTGACACCTCCACCTACTTAGAGACAATTATTACTTAATTGTTAAGAAGCCAAGTCAGACTGTCTGGGTTCATTTCTCAGTTCAAGGATGTTCGTCAAATTATTTAAACTTTCCAAGGTTCAGTTTCTTTATTTGAACAATGAAGGTAATAACATTATTATCTTTTTATCTATGCTCCAAGGACAAGAGAGAAAATAATATGGATGGCACAGAGAACAGTGCCTGGCACTGAACGAACATTCGGTAAATGCCAATTATTATTTATGCCATATAAATAGTCATGACATTAATATAAAACCAAATTAGCTTGCAGACTCCTTAAAGGCAGGGATCATGTGTTCTTTCAATATGTAAACCTCTGAGATTTAGCATATTGCCTGATGTATAGAGAGCATTCAGTGTACGATTGTGGATTGATACATGGTCAACATTTATTCTTTTATTAAAATATATTTAATGAACACCTATTATGTGTCAGGAAAAGGAATGTTGTTCCTAGAACAAGAACAGTATTATATGATGGCGTATAATATAAAAAGTGCAGAAGCCATTTGAATTACACACACACAAAATTCCAAAGCCAAAACAAGCAATTTGTTACCTTTGGATTCAAATTTATCATGTCTATTTCAATTTTGGAGAGTACAATCTCTCCAAAAGTACTGCTTGCAATCTGCAGAAGTACAAAATAGATAATCTATCTTGTTAGAATTGCAAATAGACTGGACTAAAATATGTGTCTTTCTTGAGAATGCAATCTTCAAATATCAGTGCCTGCTTAACACTGTTGTATGCTGGGATTCTTAAGACTGAAATGCAAGGGTCATAATCCTGAAATTTTGTTCACATTGCATGTGGTATTACAATGCTTCATGAAAAGGTTCTCAGGAGAAATCCAGAAACTATTTATCTAAGGCCAAATTAATTAATTTGGACACACGAACAGAAGTATGTGTCCCTTCCCCACATAGCAGCTAGAATAATTCTTTTAAAACATGTGTTAAGTTTGATCATTTCCCTGCTCAAAAGCCTCCAGTGGCTTTCCATCAGAGTTCCAGTAAAATTCAAATCTTTACTAGGGTCCTTAGCTATTCCTTTAATCTCATTTCCTACTAGCCTTCTCTCTTTTCCCTCAAATAAAAACTCCACAAGGGAAAGGACGTTGTTTTGTTTATTTCTCCAGCCCCAGTTCCTGAAATACTGCTGGCAAAAATCTGTGTAGAAGTTCTTAATTTATATTTGTTAAATAATAAATGGAAGAATGTTCAAAAGAACTATCCGAGAGTTCTTTTCTGTAAAGTGAGAGAGAATCCTCAGGGCAGCCTACATACATGGTATCAGTTGACATTAATTAGCTTTGTAGTTTCAAGGAACATACTATGCACATTGAATTTAATAGCAGGGGACTTCAAAGAGAGGTGCATTCACCAGAAGGGGTACGTACAACTAGTCCTTATGGAGTGTTACATGTCTCCTATGGTGAAAACACCTCATCTTCCACTTAAGATTGCATCTAGGAGAAATAGAGTTTTGTGGAGCACCATTCCATCTGCCAATGTATCATAAAGCATCGTCTGGCAGAAAAACTCTGACTAAGTCTGATGACAGGCTTCTGGCAGGCTCGAGAGACTAACTGTGCTTGTACCTAAGGCTACAAGTATATATTTTCTTCCATCTCAGAAAGGCAGATTCTCCTCTTTACTGCATAAAGAAATCTGATAACACACAAGATGATCTGTGTATTTGCACATTTATTCACAGTTGCACAAAAAGTACAGTAACTTGCAGTTTAAGTTCTGGATTAGAAATACCTGGGTTTAAATAAGAATAGACCATTAACTTGCTATGTGATTTGCATGATTCTATCTGTAAAATGGTAGAAGTATGCATTTGATTTGTACTTTTTTTTGCTGTTGTTTTGTTCATTTATTAGAAAACTAAAACTAACCTGATTATTGTGATCAACTACAGGCCTGGCACATGAAAACCTCTCAGTAGATGTTAGGTAGCAATAGTTATTTCCTTACATCCTTTTACATATTCCTTGGAAGGGTCTAGACAATGTCATCTACTATCTTTACTAACATATATCTATAACTTTACAGAGTTCTTATTTTCCTATTGCATCTTTCATTTTTTTAGCAATTACCTTTTAAAAATATATTTCAGTAAAAGAGGTAGCTATTCTTTTTCAAGTTTTGCTTTACCAAGAAAATATTGATAAAAATTAGTTAATTAATTTTCACTTTTAGAATTATGAAAGAGAAACACTGGTATGCAAAAAGTCTTATTGTTAAACTAGTGATTAGTAGCAAATTAATTCAGCTTTTAAAACAAAGTAATGACATATTGAGATGCATTTTTTGCTTGCAAAACTGAGAAACAGATGTATATAGAAATCACCTTTGCCATCCCAGGTCTGCCTTTAATGTGCCTGTGTTTTCTTGTCATGCATGTTGAAAAGCAAGATGTATGCAATACAATAGGTTCTCAGCTTTTTTCCCTGTATCTTAATGTAACATCCTATATTTCTCCTCACCTTAAACTAGCTGAAGCATTCAGTTGTGACAGTCTGGTTTATTTCAGCAACAATCATCTACCTGTCCTTTTGGACAGATATTGCTGTAAATTCTGAAGATTGACAGAAATAAAGATGCTAGCAGATTTGGAGATTAGACTTCAGTTATTAACTAAGGCATATTAAGAGTCTATCATGCAGAATAAGGCAGTTGGAGTGTTGCTCAAATAAAACATGGGCAACAACAAAAAAAAAACTTTATTTCTGATTAAATAATTATATTAGGGTATATATATATTTTATATATATGTTTCTCCAATGATATATACATATATATAAGTATATGTGTATCATAGGAATAGAAATGATATATTTAGGAATATGTAAAATACATTCTTAAAATCTTAAGGATTCTTTAATTCTTACAGAATTAACAATATATTTTATATTTTAAATAATTAAATTAGCAATATAAAATATATAACATAGGACATTATTTGATGAATAAAGATGTGTAACATACATGATTATTATATATTAAATATACTGTTGTGATTATTATATATTAGGCATACTAGTTAGATATAGCTCTATAACTAGTTAGGCTATACATGATATAACCTTAATTATATATTATATAATTATATATTATTTATTCTATTATATTGTTATATATAAGAATAATATAGCATTATATTCATATATAAATATATGAAGAGGTAAATATCCTGAAGGAAATAATGGAACTAACATGATAAGAGGTAATGGGTCTAAATTATTAGGGATACATTTTTTCAAAAGCCATTATATAAAAAGTATATTTTAAAGAAATTTTGGCATAAAGTCATGTGGAAACAGTTAATTATTAGTATCTGATCAATTTCTATGACTATGTGTAAGTTTTTATGTGTTACTCTATAGCTCCATGACACCTGCCCCCTACTTACACCCCCACTCCCATCACACATATACATACACATGCCCTTTTCATGCCATGTGGTAAAAGTCTGGTGAGTATTTTCTTTTTATCTTAATTGTATTTAACAACACTCTACCCTTGCTAACCTAAAAGTCATCTAACATTTGATCTCTTGTGATCTCTCACTCTGAACTCATATCATGATTATTGCTTGGTTTAGACTACTTTCATTGCACATGTGGGAGGAATAATAATTAAAAATATTAACTACTATGTTCATGTATACATGTGTGTACTTTATTTTCTTCTCTTCTCTCAGGCTAGACCATAACATTCTTGTTAGATAATGAAGCCACAGCAGAATTGTCATGAAAAATTAGAGAAATTAATTGTTGGCTTTAGACATTAGAAAAGACTAAGATGCCTTAAGTTTGCAAGTGTACTTGCTGAAGTACTGTTTTCTACTATGAAGACTAGAAAACGAACTTACTTTCTAGACCAAAGTAGAGGGAATATTACTGGAAACATTTAGGGTTAAATCCTGGCATGAAGAGGAGGGAAAGGGTAGAAATTCAGCTTGGGGTTATGAAATCAGGGGGTACCAGTGGTACATTTCCAGGCAGAAAGTTTTTTGACAGGCAGCAATTTCACAAAAAGTAGAGGCTGAGCATAAGTACATGAATAACCAGGACTGAGCCACCTGTAGGAAGCCTGTGAGCCCAAGGTTGCTGAAAGATATTCCCATATGATTGAAAGTGGTTGGATGGACACAAGAGTTACTGTAACCACAGAACCTTCTGGCTGGAAAGTCGGGAGGTTTCAGGAGTATGTTGGGTTGTGCAACCAGGAACTAGAAATCAATGCAGATGCCTCAGCAGAGACCAGCACAAAGAATGACAAAGCCTGGGATAAAGAGAAAGCTTCATCCAAGTTGAATGCCAGGAAGGGGCGGGCGAAAGATTATCTAGGTGCCGAGGCAAGAGACTGAAAGCACAAACTGTTTCAGTATAATAAAGAAAATAGTTAGAATAAGAATAGTCATAATACAAATTAAATATAGAGAAGATCATGGACAATTATCAATCATTAGTATAAACATTATTAATTATTAACTTTTAATAGTACTCTTTGTTGCATTACTAATATAATCTAGGAATAACCGGCAGGTATAGGGTCAGGTGCTGAAAGGACATTGTGAGAAGTGACCTAGAAGGCAAGAGGTGAGCCCTCTCTCACGACCGCGTAAGAGCCGCTTGAGGGCTCCTTGGTCAAGCGGTAATGCCAGTGTCTGGGAAGACACCCATTACTTAGCAGACCGTGAAAGGGAGTCTCCTTTCCTTGGAGGAGTCAGGGAACACTTTGCTCCACCAACTTCTTGTGCGAGGCTGGATATTATCCAGGCCTGCCCACAGTCATCCGGAGGCCTAAACCCCTCCCTGCGGTGCTGTGCTTCAGTAGTCACGCTGCTTGTCCACTTTCATGTTCCTCCGGTACTCCTGGTTCCTCTTTGAAGTTCGTAGTAGATAGCGGTAGAAGAAATAGTGAAAGTGTTAAAGTCTTTGATCTTTCTTATAAGTGCATGGAAGAAAACGCTGATGTATGCTGCCTTCTCTCTCTGATTCGGCTACCTAAAAGGGAAGGGCCCCCTGTCCTGTGATCACGTGACTTGCTTCACCTTGTCAATCACTTAGAAGATTCGCCCTCCTTATCCTGCCCCCCTTGTCTTGTAAGCAATAAATATCAGTGAGCCCAGTCGTTCGGGGCCACTACCGGTCTCCGTGTCTTGATGGTAGTGGTCCCCCGGGCCCAGCTGCTTTCTCTTTATCTCTTTGTCTTGTGTCTTTATTTATTACAATCTCTCGTCTCTGCACACGGGGAGAGCATCCGCTAAGCCCCATAGGGCCGGACCCTACAGAAAGGTAATGTCTTCATTGAAGTTTTTCAAGACCTAGAACTAGAGACAACCAACTGAATGTTAACGGTTTACTTTTAAAGTAAAGAGAACACTTGTGAAGAAATGGAACCAGAAAGCAAAAAGAAGGTACCCTATAAAGTAAGTATTATAAAGTTAGCAATTTGAACTTAATTCCACTGGGGAAACTAGCAGCTGGCCTAAGACACCTGATTCCAAATTACCCCGCCTGAGCAGCAAGAAAGCAGGCTATTTATATACCAACTCCCATCTGTCATTGCTTCCGAGCTATTTCAACGTGTCTGCAAGATCCCAGCACTCCCAGTGTGTCATAGTGGTGGCAAAGTGGAAAAGCGGTCTCTAGAAGCAAGAAAAACCCCGAGCAGTAGCATGCCAGTGATGGCAGTTGGAATGATAAAGATGATAGTTACCAAAAGGACATTGACATCACCTGCTACGCTGCACAGAACATGTACATACCTCGTATTAAATTCAGTTCATCTTGGCCGGGCACGGTGGCTCACGCCTGTAATCCCAGCACTTTGGGAGGCCGAGGCGGGCGGATCACAAGGTCAGGAGTTCAAGACCATTTGGCCAACATGGTGAAACCCTGTCTCTACAAAAATACAAAAAAATTAGCTGGGTGTGGTGGCGTGCACGTGTAATCCCAGCTACTTGGGAGGCTGAGGTGGAAGAATTGCTTGAACCTGGGAGACAGAGGTTGCAGTGAGCCAGGATTGTGCCATTGCACTTCAGCCTGGGTGACAGAGCGAGACTCTGTCTCAAAAATAAACAAATAAATAAATAAATTCAGTTCATCCTATTATTGATTCTTCCAAGGTAGTAACTATTCACAATTAACAATAAAGGAAGAAAGAACATACGAGTGAGACAGGGAGGGAAGGAACTCTATATACATCGGAAGAAAAGAATTGAGGAAGGGAGGGATGGAAGTAAGGAAAGAGGAAGTGAGGAAAAAAACTGACTTGCAACCAACCTTTTACAACAATCTTCAACCAGTTATAATGCAGTAAATAGAACAAGAGTCTGCATTGATACAATGTTTCTGAAGTTGCAACTGATGATTCCCAGTCTCCTTCCTCTACTACCTATTCTTGATTCCCCATACGCTTGCCTACCACTTTAGCTGCTCCTTGTTGCTTGCCCCAACACTATCTCTTGTCTAACTTTAGTCACTACAATTGCACATTTACAATGATCAACAAGCGTGGAAACATCAAGATTTACCCCAGTGAATTCTCAGAACTTCAGGCATAACCTTGCCCTCATTATGATTATCTCCTTATGATAAGCAGGGTCATTATTGCCAGTATAGTGACACCCTTCTTCACCTACTTTTCTGCAGGTATTAGAAATTCAGGTGACAGGCCAGGCACAGCGGCTCACGCCTGTAATCCCAGCACTTTGGGAGGCCCAGGCAGGTGGATCATGAGGTCAGGCGTTCAAGACAAGCCTGTATCTACTAAAAATACAAAAAATTAGCCGGGAATGGTGGCGGGTGCCTGTAATCCCAGCTATTCAGGAGGCTGAGGTAGGAGAATCGCTTGAACCTGGAAGGAGGAGGTTGCAGTGAGCCAAGATCTTGCCACTGCACTCCAGTCCGGGAGACAGTGAACAGTGTGAGACTCCATCTAAAAAAAAAAAAAGAAATTCAGGTGACAGGTATAATTTTACTTCTAGGTAAAATCTTATTTTGTTTCCTCCTACAAATATCCTCCTTGGGAAATGGATTCTAGCCCAGCAAATACTAATATTGTGAATGGGAATTAAAAATTTCCCAGTAGGACTTATGGCAATAGGGGGGCCATTGCTACATCCTTTTATTGTGCCCTGGACATGTATGTTATACTTATATGGGACAGATCGCCATGAAATAACAGACTTGAAGAACATCAGTCTAAACTGCAGGGTACCTTCCCAAAGCTGGTGGATTCTCCGGGGCTGACTGCTTCAAATATATAACCATAGTAATTGGTCAACTGTTGCATCTCTTTTTAAGTAGAATGTTTTCCTTTGAAAAGAACGTTTTCCTATGAAAGACAATGTTATATGGGATCATATAATGATAAATGAGGCATTTTATGAACCCTTGGATATTATTGTAATACTAAAGCCTGAAGGCAAAAAAGGCAAAGATAAACCTATATAAAGTCTTAATCTAAGTCAAAATGAATTCCTGACCCCAGAAAGGAAGGGATTTAACACAATTAACTTGTCGCCAAGTATTTGAAACAATAAACAGAGGTAAATGCTACAGAAGAAGCCTTGGTAAGAGAAATACTTCCCATCAGAGCATGCCAAATTTTCATCCCTTATAATAGCTATAACATTATCAGTTTATTTTTCAGTCCTGGGATGGCTGAGGATAGTGGCTGGCTGAACTCTACTGGATGGTTTGTAGGGTATTCTGTGGGAGAGATTCTCCCTGGTGGGTGCTGATGAGAAATAAAACATTTTTACAGTCTGTGCGCACTCCTGTAGACCATCTACTTGCTTCCTTTCCAGGATACATTGCCTCTGATTTCTACTACTCTTCCTTCCTGGCTCCTGACTAACCAGCCAAGACAGTTACAGCTTAGGAATTGCCTCAAGCTATTCTCCAGCTATATCAAGTTTATGCGCAGGTGTGTTGCTCAGAACTCTATATACTGGGATTTTTTTCTTCAACATGTTCTTGCAGGGCCACCTCTAAGTAATGCTTTGGGCAGCAACAGATACTTTTTCTCCTGTAGCATAGTATTGAGCCAAGCTATCTCTAAACCAGACCAGACCTTTCTTTCTTCTCCTTTTTCAATTATCTGGTCATACATAAGACATCACAGACCATAATATAATCTGATTTTGGGGAGACTTGTAACAGAGGCTGGTGATATGGGTGCACAAGCCACTTGTTTGTTAAACTAACTTGTGTACACTTAATCGTTGCAGGACCAAATATCTATGCACTGTTTCCTTTATACAGTGAGTTAATGCTTTTTTCCAAAGACTTGGACGTGACTGGTCTGCTATACTCAGTACCCAGCACATGATCAACTCTAACTGTAGTTACTTGTTGTCTCATATCTAGACATTCAGTCTCTACTAGAGTCCAGTAGCATATCAGGAGGTGCTTTTCACATAAGGAACAGTTTTCTGCTGCTGATGGTATGGACTTCCTTAGAAAACATGGTACAAACTTACGGAAACTATGGTTCTGTTCTTCATAGGAGATTAAACTTGCACGGCACACGAAAAAGCATTCCTATTTAATATGGACAGTTCCAGCAACTTGAGATCTCCTGAGCCATATGGTTTAATTGGCAGGGCCGCAAATGTCTTGAATCTCTTGCAGAATCCTTTCTTCCGCTTCACGCTACTCAGAACCGACAACTCTTCAAGGCACTAATAAATAGATTGGAGCCATATTCCTGCACGTAGCATGTGCAGTCTTCAGAATTCACAGAAATATGCCAAGTACTGTTACCTATTTCTTTGTAGTAGCAGATGCAAGGTACAATAACTTATTCTTTATGTAGGAAACTGAGATATGACGGACCATTAACACTGCATCTTATAAATCTATAAGAATGGCACTAACTTCTGCCATCTGTCTAAATACAATATTGCTTCTGATTTATTACCTAGATCTAGGTGGAGGAAGTGTAGTATTAGGGCTTCCACTTGGATCTTCCATTTTCTTTTTATTCCACTGGTCTTGGTATAAATGTAAAGACTGTTCCAACTCAATATCCATCCCAATTATATACTAAGGTTTTAGAGAAATGAACAGAGGATGGGTTGATGGCCCATTGGTCTCTTTGAGAGATGGACTTAGACTGGGTTACCATTTATCTCTGAGGTTTCATATCCTTTCATGCTGACAAAGGAAACTGTTAGTGCTTAATCAGAATAGAAGAGTGAGTCATTACACATGATTAGTTCAGAAAGTCTTATATTCACAATTTGTTTTAATTTCTGATTTGTGGCCACAATAATTCACTACATTATGCAAAATATCTGTCAGTGTTTTATAGCTGATAATATGTAAATGAAGATGAGAGATGAAACTCACAGGAAGAATCTTAACAAATGACCTCCAAATTACCCATGATGGCCCCAAATCAATAGAGAATCCTCTATACACACACACACACACACACACACACACACGCACCCACTCACTATTCTAAATACTTGATTGTGACTCATTTAAAATAATTGATGACAATTACTTAGCAAGAGCTAAGATAAAATATTATATTTAGGTCAATAAACATATACTAAAATTTAGGTTTAAATGATTGCATTACTAAAAATTACATATTTTTAACATAGTTAATCTGATACTTTTATCTGTAAATGAGAAACCGGTATAGCATAGTACAATCCTTCTTGTGGAATTCCTTCAAGATTTTATACAGAGATCAGAATTTATATTCCTCAGAATAGGAATTACAGCTATAGGGCAACAACTCTGCATACTACCCTTCCTGCAGGATTATAATGAAAGGATTAGAACAATTTTGAATGCAATATGAAGGGACAATATCCCTTAGTAACATTAAAAAATAGGTATATACCTGGATAAGTAGGTCTTACTGAGAAGGATTTTCGCCAGAAAATTAAAACACACACATACATGCACACACACCAATAAACAGTGGTTTCCTTGTTCTAAAAATATGTAATCCACTCTTTTGATATAAGAAACCAAAAATTGAAGAAATTCACCCAGTTAAATCACAAGAGCAATAACAACGATAGCAACAAAAACCCAAGAAGCGAAATAACTAATTTAGGGATTTACCAGTATTACTGAGTTATGGGATCTTCTGGCACCTGTAAGCTACTTCATTTTGGGAAATTAATTTCATGCTTGCCTACTCCTGTGAAACTCCTGACTGAAGGGTCTCATGAAGTTTTGGAATGGTCAAAGAAATGTCAGAAATGTTACTGAAGAAAGCCAAAGAAAAAGCTGTCACCATCTGAGCAGTCAATTATCTTTTTTTTCTTTTTTTCTTTTTTCCCCCAAAAATAAACTATATATGCTCAACTAGGTGTATTAGTCGGTTCTCATACTGCTATGAAGAAATAACCAAGACTGTGTAATTTACAAAGAAAAGAGGTTTAATTGATTCACAGTTCTGCATGGCTGGGGAGGCCCCAGGAAACATACAATCATGGTGGAAGAAACCTATCACAGAGCAGCAGAAGAGAGAAGGAGTGCCAGCAGGGGAAATATCAGATGCTTATAAAACCATAAGATCTCATGAGAACTCACTATCACAAGAACAGCATGGGGGAAAATGCCCCCATGATTCAATTACCTCCAACTGGTTCCCTCCCCCAACATGTGGGGATCATGGGGATCATAATTCAAGATGAGATTTGGGTGGGGACACAGCCAAACCATATAATTCCACTTCTGGCCTCTCTCAAATCTCAGATCCTCACATTTCAAAATACAATCATGTCTCCTCGACAATCCTCCAAAGTCTTAACCCATTCCAGCATTAATCCAAAAGTCCAAGTCCAAAGTCTCATCTGAGACAAGGCAAGTCCCTTCCACCTATGAGCTTGTAAAATCAAAAGCAAGTTAGTTACTTCCCAGACAGAATAGGGGTACAGGCATTGGGTAAATACACCTGTTCCAAATGAGAGAAATTGGCCAAAGCAAAGGGGCTACAGGCCCCATGCAAGTCCAAAATCCAAGAGCGCAGTCATTGAACCTTAAAGTTCCCCAATGATCTCCTTTGCCTTCATGCCCCACATCCAGGTCATGCTGATGCAAGAAGTGGGCTCCCATGGACTTGGGCAGCTCTGCCCCTATGGCTTTGCAGGGTACTGGCCCCCTCCCAGCAGGCAGCTATCACAGGCTGGCATTAATTATCTGTGGCTTTTCCAGGTGCAGGTTGCAAGCTGTCAGTGGATCTACTCTTCTAGGGTCTGGAGGATGGTGGCCCTCTTCTCACAGCTCCACTAGGCAGTGCCCTAGTAGGGACTCTCTGTAAGGGCTCCGACCCCACATTTCCCTTTTGCACTGTGCTAGCAGAGGTTCCCCATGAGGGTCCCACCCCTGCAACAAAATTCTGCCTGGACATCCAGGCATTTCCATACATCCTCTGAAATCTAGATAGAGTTTTCCAAACCTCAATTCTTGTCTTCTGTGCACAGGACCAACACCACATTGAAGCTGACAAGGCTTGGGGCTGGCACCCTCTGAAGCAACAGCCTGAGCTGTACCTTGGCCCCTTTTTTGCCATGGCTGGAGGGGCTGGGACGAGGGCACCAAGTCCTGAGGCTGCACACAGCAGAAGGGCCCTTGGCGCAGCACAGGAAACCATTTTTCCCTCCTAAGTCTCTGGGCCTGTGATGGGAGGGTCTGCCATGAAGACCTCTGACATGCCCTGGAGACATTTTCCCCATTGTCTTGGTAATTAACATTTGGCTCCTCCTTACTTATGGAAATTTCTGCAGTGGGCTTGAATTACTCCCCAGAAAATAAATTTTTATCTTCTATTGCATTGTCAGGCTGCAAATTTTCCAAACACTTATGTTCTGCTTCCCTTTTAAACATAAATTCCAATTTCAGTTTCTCTCAAGTTCAAGTTTCCAAAGATCTCTAGGGTAGGAGCAAAATGCCACCAGTCTCTTTGCTAAAGCTTAGCAAGAATGACCTTTGCTCCAGTTCCCAATAACTTCCTCATCTCCATCTGAGACCACCTTTGCATGTACTTCATTGATCACTATCAGCATTTTGGTCAAAGCCATTCAACAGGTTTCTAGGCAGTTCCAAACTTTCCCACATCTTCCTGTGTTCTGAGTCCTCCAAGTCTGTAGGAAGTTCCAAGCATTCCCATATTTTCCTGTCTTCTTCTGAGCTTTTGGAACTGTTCCAATCTGTGCCTATTACCTAGTTCCAAAGTCACTTCCACATTTTTGAGTATCTTTACAGCAGTGCCCTACACCTGGTACCAATGTATTGTATTAGCCTATTTTCATACTGCTAAAAAAACTGCCCAAGACTGGGTAATTTCTGAAGGAAAAAGGTTTAATAGACTCATAATTCACTATGGCTAGGGAGGCCTCAGGAAATTTATAATCATGGCAGAAGGCAAAGTGAAAGCAAGGTGGCAGGAAGGAGAAGTGCTGAGCACAGGGAAAAGAACCCCTTATAAAACCATCAGATCTTGTGAGATCTCACTCATTATCACAAGAACAGCATAGGGGAAACCATTCCCGTGATTCAATTACCTATACCTGGTCTTTCCATTGACATGTGGGGATTTCGGGGTTTATAGGAATTACAGTTCAAGATGAGATTTAGGTGGGGACACAAGGCCTAACCATATCACCCTCTCTCCACTGTCCCGGTACCAATTTACTGTATTAGTCCATTCTCATGCTTCTATGAAGAAACAGTTGAAATTGGTTAATTTATAAAGAAAAGGGTCTAATTGACTCACAGTTCTGCATGACTGGGGAGGCCTCAGAAAACTTACAATCATGGCGGAAGGCACCTCTTCACAGGGCAGCAGGAGAAAGAAGGAGTGCCAGCAGGGGAAATGCCAGATGCTTAGAAAAAACATCAGATCTCAGGATAACTCACTCACTATCAGGAGAACAGCATGGGGTAAACCACCCGCATGATTCAGTTACCTCCCATGGGGTCCCTCCCACAACATGTGGGGATTATGTGGATTATAATTCAAGATGAGATTAGGGTGGGGACAAAACCAAACCATATCACTGGGGATATTTGCTGCCAATGTTAGGTGTAAACTTTTGTTTATTAAAATATGAAAAAAGAGAACTTCTCTCTTCCTCCAGGGAAACAGGCTCTCATTTTGAAAAATAAGCTCTTCACATGTTATTTAAAAATAATTTATTCAAATATAAAACCTAATGCATATAATTTTAAAGAGCTTATTTTAGCCTTAGATTTCAAGTTTATAAACTTAAAACATTTCTCTGGACCAGGATAATTGATCATATTACTATAGATTTTTTCTATATAGTAAATTCTGTTATTCTTTCAAATATACTTAAATAAAAGTGCATTACCTTTCTTAGTTTTACTTGAAAAAGTATGGGATCAAGATTATATATCTATATAATAAAAGGAAATAAAAGAGAAACTGCAAAAAATGAGAAACAATTTTATCAAGAGAAATAAAGAGACATTCTGGAGTGTCTGTCTAAATATTGGGTTGAAAACATGGATCACACACACCTGGCAGGTATTTAAAAACATACATAGTTTATTATTATTATTATTATTATTATATCTTTATTATTATGATATCTTTCTTGGGTTTACAAATGAAAATGAATAAGGTTTTCATGAGGATAATGAACAATTGAAATATAAATACTCAAGACTTGTGGAAGTACAGCATTTGGTTGAGTTTTTGTTTATCAAAGTCATTTTAGAGTTCTAATATGAGAGTGAAAGTCACAGAGATGTGTTCCCACAGCATCCATCCACACTTGATGCCTGGCTGCTGAAGTGCAGTCATCAGTATCCAGTTATCAGCTTCTTCAAGTCTAACTTAACTACCTTTGCCTGAGGCCTTCGTGTGTGGGGTTGAAAAGGAGAGAGTGAGCTGCTTATATCCACTGAATGAGCAAGGTGGGTTATAAAGGCCCAGCCATTTTAACCCAATCTGGGGAAACTGTCGGGCAGCACTCAATTCACAGCTACCTACTTGGCTGGTTAAAGCTTTGTCAGAGCTACATCACTATTTAATTTCTCCCTCTGCTCAATCCTTTTCTCCCTCTTTTATTTCACAGGTGCCAATAATAAATATTTTATGCCCCAAATCCATCTCAAACCTAGCTGCTTGTGGAAAATCCAACATGCCACACAAATATTCCTACATGTCTAATTATAAAGGTTCCCCTAGACCCACATTAGGCTGTGACTAAACATTTTTCCTGGGCTACATCCCATCTCTGATGATCCATGGAAACTGCTTTGAGAAAAGAGGATTAAAAAGTGCATAATATTAAAACACTAAAAACTTAAAGTAACAAAATGCTTGAAAGATGTAGTTTTATACACAATAGTCACATCCAAGTTATGACTCATTCAGTTTATTTTTCCAGACTTCCACATCTGCTGTCAATCAGGTATTCTGTCTCAAAAACTTCTGTGGATCGTTTGAGATTAAACTGGTGTTAGGTAGATGTATTTTCTACTTTTTTTTTTCTGGGCACCAAAATATCAAAGGTCTTTAGGTCAGAGGAAAAAGATCAGAGGAAGCAGTGGACTTTACTCATATCTATAATACCTCGTTCTATAGAATACACTCAAAGCCTCCGCTTCTGAGACTTCTCCCCATAGTTTTCAGTTATCAAATCCTATTTCTCTAATCATCCAGCAGTTCTGGCCATTTGGGTCAATGTTTCTAATTGCCATGGATGCATGTCTAGGAGTTGCCATTGCATGTTTACTGCATGCTAACCACTTTGATAAGTATTCTACCTACAGCATCATTTAAAAATGATGCTATTTTTATTTATTTATTTATTTAAATATGATATGCATGCACATGATACACATTCAAAATGCAACTCTTTCCCTTAGTCTCCCAGGTTGCTGGCCTAGCAGCATATACTTACCTCCCATTTTTACCAACGTATGCCCATATTTCATGATCCATTGATTTTGTCTTGCCTTATAACAATTTTGTTATCTGTTCCCATTTTTCCAGATGAGAAAACCAAATTTCTCAATGGTTAAATATATATTCCAAGGTTACATAACTGTAGGGAAAACAAAACAAACAAACAAAAAGAAACATTATTTGAACCCAGTCTTTCTGATTCCAAATGAGACCATGCTCTCAACTACTTTGTTGTGCTTTCTGCCTAAATGTATTTGAATAAATGCAGTCCCAACATCCTTGCTATAATAGTGAGGGCCAATGTTAACTCATATGATTCTTTGATCAAAAATTTCAAAAAATGTATCTTCCCTAAGACACTTCCATATATCAAATCATTGTCAGAAAATATTGATTTTGGTACAAAGATACATGAATGCCATCCCAAAAATTGTTCCAATAAATATATAAACAATGATGTCTGTGTGTCCAGTAGTTCCCCTTTGTGTTACAGAGTGTTACAGTTGGAACAACAGCATATTGCAGCCCTGATGGTGGACACTAACTTTTCATTTTTAGCTGCAGCATTTTGTCAATAAGATTGGTAGTTTCCAAAGAATAGTCAGAATGAACACATTTAAACAAAAAGAACGAATTTTCAACAAAGTTACTCTTTCTTCTAAAAGGCGATGAATTTGCAAGACAATTACTAGCAACAAAATGCATGTAGAGCACGGATCCAGCTGGTAGAGATGGTTCAGAGATATACAGGCAACGTCAAGACAATGTGAATAAGGAATTCTTTTCTACTAATGAGTAGCTAGAGGCAATGACTTTGCAGCTCATATTAGAGAGAAGTTTATTCTCCTAAGAGAATAATTTCTGAAGATACAAACTCAAAGTGAATTTTAAGCAATGTAGATATAGAAATCTAAATTTTAATTAAAGAGTAATAAGAATACTCATATAGGAAAGTGATAGCCCAAATCTCATTAGTGTTGTACAAGAACACAAGATCAACAGAACAAAAACAAATCAAGAAGAGAAATATGAATGAACCAGAACAATAACAAAAAATATGTTAGCCAAATGCCTTTCATGTGTTTTGGTAAATTACAACTGAATGTTAATGGCAATTCTCATCAAAAATTTAGTTTTCATGCTCAATAACATATCAGATAAATAAATACATATATTTTATTCCTTGTTGGGAGTTTATGATTTAAAACTAATATTTTTATTTTGTTCACAAAATATAAAGCTAACAAATCTCTGAGTTATTATTACAGAGTAGGAATATGTCTGCATGGACTTCACCTGACTACTACTACAGTTGACTTGATTCTGGAACCAAAAGTAGGCAGTTCAGGTAAGATGAACATTATGCCATGTTTAACTCTCATTTATAACAGGATATACTTAATTTGAATGAGCTACATGTTGTACACAATTCAAAAACACAAATAAATTTTCCTGTTCTGAATTAGGACACATTTCAGAGTACAGGGTGGTTAGTAACAACTAATAAGCATCTATTAGCTTTTAACTAACATGCCCATGAAGACACTTGGAAAGTAAAATGCATACAATATCAAAAAGCAGGACTACGAAACCAGAATGGAAAACACCATCAATGGCCAATCCATTGGGATGGGGAAATATGGTATTCTTACAAATCTAAGTGCATTATAACTATATGCACTTAGTATTTAAGCTCTCATGTAGCAAATCCACATAAATATATTCACAAATTTACAGAGATCTTGAAAAATACATCAAAATTAAAAATTACAACATGTTCTAAAGACTAACCTATGAGACACAATTATGACCTCAAGAAATAGGAAATTTGTGTCAGGCAAGTAATATATAACGTATGTATATGTGTTTGAAATTTTATCTTCTTTTAGGTATATATCATAAGGTAACAATCTCAACATTAATAAAATTTATTCAGACATAGGACAATGGCAGTATAAATTATTAGGATAGAGGTTGAAAATATCATTTTAGCCATTGTGGAAGGCAGAATAACGCCCCACTCTCCAAATATGCCCATGTCCTAATTGCCAGAACCTATGACCATATTAGGTTTCATGGCAAAGGGGGATTAAAGTTGCAGACAGAATTAAGGCTGTTAATCATCGGATGCTAAAATTTTATATTTTCTCCAGGTGACCTCCATGTATTCACAAGGGTTTTTAAAAGTGGAAGATGGAGACAGCAGTGTAAGTCAGGGTAATGCAATATGAGAAGGACTTAACCCACTGGATTTCAAGATGAGGGAAGTGATAATGAGGCAAGCAATGCAGGCCATCTCTAGAAGATGGAATAGGCAAGGAAAGACATTCTCTCCAGAGCCGCCAGAAATAAATGCAGCCCTGCCAACATCTTCACTTTATCTCAGCAACACGAATTTCTGACTCTCAAAACTGTAAGATAAGAAAGTTGTATTGTTTTAAGCCACTAAATTTGTGACCATTTGTTACAGAAGCAACAGAAAGCTAATACAGGCATCAATTAAATTATGTTTAGAAAGACTCTAATGATGTAGAAACTATGTTTATGTAATCAGGCTAAAATTCAAGAATTCAATTCAAGAAAATATATATATCATATTAAATAAATATGATATTGTTCAAACTTCCTGCAGTATTGTAAACCCTTGCTATCTGAATATATTAACATTTAATAGCAGCCAAAACATAAGATTTAGAGTTATACTTTTATTTGAATATCATTTGTTTTATTTATTAGCTCTTGTGGCCACAGATTAACTATATAAACATGATGATCTTTGGCTTAGCTATCTGACCATCTGTAAAATGGGGATAATTATTTCTACTCCATATGATCTTTGTGAGTTTTTAGTGAGATGATACACATGGCTTAGTAAACACTGGCACATTATACACACTGGACAGATGGTTAGTTGGTGGTAAAACCATTGTTCATAGCCTTTATTCCATCTATTTCATAAGATCAAGAAAACAGTTACATTAAACATTCTTCCTACTTTAGTATTAAAATCATTTTTAATGGATGTATTTAAATGAAAAGTTTGGGTAACTCCAATGCATATCTAATTGACAAAATGTCAGACACAGTACCAGAGAAGAGGGAAAGTGTTAAAGTGTTAAAGCAGGTATCATCATACAAGCAGGTATTTTGGTTCCTTAGCATCTGTTTACTTAAGCTTAATCAATTCACCACTACTTATTTTTTGAAATCAATTCCTCACCTTCAGTTCTGTAGCAATATTATACCATACTCCTCCAATGGCTTTAGTATCAAAGGCAGCAGAGTTTTAATGGTAAAGCCATTGAGTTGTGTTTTGGGGAAGGTGGGGTGAAGAATCATCACTTGGAAACTAATAACTGCCCACACATCTTGAAATGCCATGGAGTTAGAAACAGACTAGAGGAACTGGATATAATACATCATCTAGTTGAACAGCATTTTATGTATAAAGATAATGAGTTCCAATATCTTAAATAACTTGCTGAAGATTATACTACTTCGGATGCTAAGAATAAATCCTTGATGTTCCTTCTCCTAAAAATGCATACTTTATGTTTCAATGTTTATGTATCATTTTATAACAAAATCCCTTCCTTATGTTTGTATTCTTAGTGTTGAGCTTTTTATTGAAAGCAAAAACTGCTCAGTATTCTTAAAGTAGAGCTGTTTGCTGTTATTTTGCCTGTAAGGAAGAATTCTAACCCATGGGGCAGCAAGAGGCATGCTGCTGTTGTCAACAGAGAAGGCAATGGGGCAGGAGGTGAAAAGACTGAGCAACATATAAAGATCCCTTACAGCAAAGTTCACCCAGGTGTTTCTCTCAAATTCCCAACCCACTCCCTCCCACACTTCCTTAAGAACAGGTGTGACCCCTGGAACATCAGAGCATCAGCAGGGGTAAGTGAAAGGTTATACAGAGTTGAAAAGGAGCAGAAAATTTGAAAAATAAGCATATTTAATAAATAACACCTGTCTTCTGTAAAGGTTTCAATATTTACACTTAATATTATACCTTTAGTTCTGAAAAGGCAAAAGACTGACTCATCTTGATCTATAAATTAGTGACATAAATAAGCATGGATAATAAAAGATACAAATACTAAAGGTCAAAGACCTTATTATAAACAGATTATTTTGAAATTTATATATATTATTTTATAAAATTATAAAGGCATAGAATTGAAATACATCACCCCATCACTTAGACCAGTCTCATCTGTTCTAATTATTTTATTCTCAAATTTTGAGGGCTTGTCTATTAAAAGTTCATAAGCTACTTTGACAGTGAATAATGAGCAATTTTTCAGATTTAGTCCATGCTGACATTTCGGTTCTCTGTTTGATGATTGTTGACTTCATTAAGTGCACTTATAAAATAGTGCTTAAAATCTAAAAAGGTTGGAGACTTCAAATTAAACTACCATGTAACTTACCACTGTTAACCTAAAGAATGTTGATTGTTATGTATTAACTATCCCTATGGTGTTCCAAAGGAAAAAAAAAATGGTGAACAGATATATTAACAGAAGTGCAGATTCTCATTTTACCGATCTTTACCAAAGTGTATTAGTCTGTTTTCACCCTGCTATAAAGATATTACCCGAGACTGGGCAATTTATAGAGGAAAGAGGTTTAATTGACTCATAGTTCTACATGGCTGGGGAGGCTTTAGGAAACTTACAATCATGGCAGAAGGCGAAGGGGAAAACAACAACCTTCTTCACATGGTGGCAGGAGAGAGAAGAGTGAGGAATGAAGAGGGAAGAAACCCTTATAAAACCACCAGATCTCATGAGAACTCATCACTATCACCAGAATAGCATGGGGGTAACCGCCCCCATGATCCAATCACTTCCCTCCAGGTTCCTCTCTAGACACATGGGGATTATGAGGATTGCAACTCGAGATGAGATTTGGGTGAAGACACAGAGCCAAACCATATCACAAAGCATTGCCAGTGATTAACTTGATAGGTTATATTCGCACAGGTAGGAAAAAAAACACAGTGTAACTGTACAGTATATTGTTTTCAAGCAAGAGATTAGGGCCTATTTCTTCTAAAATATAGCATATTTCATAAATCTATAACTTTTTAGACATCTGGTTTCTAAGTGCTTGAGTGATTTCATCACTATTTTTTTCATTTTTAGTAAATTACAGAGGTTTTTTCTTTATTGAAACACACAACTCTAGTTCTTTATTTGAATAAAGAATTCATAATTTTAAAAAGAGACGTTTTCTAGCTTCATTAAATCAATGATTTTCACATGTCAAGGCCAGCCATCTTCTTGACTATTTTGTATATGATTAAGGTAAATGAATTATCAAAGTCTTGCTTATGAGTCTTTTTTTAAAGGCCAGCTACTGCTAACAGTTACCTGAGAGTAATATGTCACAGTTATGTTTTTTTAATTAAAATTTTTATTTTTTTTGTGTATATAATAAGTGCATTATAATTAGGTTTTAAGAGTTTCTTACCTCTTGAGTTGTGTAGCCACATACTATTTGCTAATTGAATTTACATAGCAGTACATGCCACTGGGAAGAAAAAAATCAGAAGGAAAATAAAGTTAAAACTGGAGGAGCAGAAGTTAAAAACTGAAACAAAAGTGGTAGTGTAAGAGGATTATAAATAAGAAATATTAATTATGAAAATGTAAAGAATGACTTCATAGTACAATTATACCAACAAAATGAAGCTTCTGACATTTTCCTTCCTTACAGCTACAGAGTAGGAAAAAGGAGTGGGAAATATAAGCCTGTGTGTCATAGATATATGTCAACCCATAAACAAATGTATAACTTAAAAAGACTGTGTCCAAAAGGTAAGTAGGCAGTGTTAAGGTTTTTTATTTATTTGAAGACAGAAAAGTATTTTAGCCAAAAACATACTGATTTTTGATCAGTCTGATTAAATGACTGATGACTGTTTAACATTTTTGCACTCTTTAAAGAGCATCCTTTTATCAGATAAAGTCAATCTGAGTATCCTATATTTACATATCAGTTATAGAATTGCACAATGTTTTATGGGTTAAATTGTTTCACCTAAAAATTCATATGATAAAGTTCTAACCTCCAATATTGCAAAATATGAATTTGTTTGGAAATAGGGTCGTTATAGATGTAATAAGGTGAGGTTTCATTGGAGTAGGGTAAGCTGTTAATCCAATATGACTGATGGCCTTATGAAAATGAGAAATTTGAAGAGACAAACATGCACACAAAGAGAATGCCATAATAACATGAAAGAAGAGATGAGATGATGTATCTACAAGCCCAGGAACATCAAAGATTTCTAAAAAATTATCAGAAGCCAGGAGAGAGGCATATAACAGATTCTCCATCATATTTCTCAGAAGCAACCAAGCCTGAAAACACCTTGATCTAGCCTCCAGAACTGTGAGATGATGTTTTGTTGTTTAATCTATCCAGTTTGTGGTACGTTGTTATGACATCCCTAGCAAATTAATACATAATGTCTCTGCATCACTACTTCTGTGTATTAGCATGGATGTCTGAAAAGGTGGCATATAAATAGATATAGATGAAGAGAATGAAGACAACCTTGGATTGACCTTGTGCTTAGTGATGGTAATTAGATATGCATATTGCATCTAGTTAAGTAAAAATAAGCAATAGAAGGAAAGCCACAGAAGCACATTAAAAGACAATATTTTTCCCTAATGAAATACTTAGAAAACTGTAGAAACAATAGAACAGATCATTATTGTTGTTGTTTAGGCATGGAACTCATATACAGTTATAGATTGATTAACCATCACTTGGTAAAATGTATATAATTAAACATTGAGTTATAATAGGCAACAGTTCAATAAAAAGTGGCAGCCATTGGCAGAGGTTTTTAAGATTAATGAAAGCTGTCATAAGAATGCAGATAGTGTTATATTTTAAAAAAACTATTTTCTAGTTTTTCCATAAAATGAGCATTCTGTTTTTGTATCTAACTTTTATTCTTCTGGATAAAAATAAAAGGCTTTTCTCTACTACATATAAATTATTTTGAGTTCTAGGTCATTCGGAAGTAGGAACATCAATTAACTTAGATCAGCAGCACTGAACCTAAGTTCAATGCAGTAAAACAAAACAACAACAACCCAAAGAATACCAAAGAGAAAGAGAGAAATGGCAGTTCAGTCTTAGATAAAAATGCTGTATATAAGGTAAAATATTTTTCTGGATGGAATCTAAGAGAAGCAAACAGCCAAAACCAAATGTTGCAATGTAAGAATAGCAATCATAATTAGCTGAGAGTATTCATTCATTCAACAAATATTTGTTGAGCATTTACTCTGTGCCTGGCATTATGCTAGCCCCTGGGAATAGAAGGATGAAAGATCAAAACTGCCATATGCTTATAGTGGTAAACATAAAAAACAAATGTGCAGTGGAATGTATATGATGATTTCAGTGTTAAAAGCATTTTAAACAAAACCAAAGAATGATAGTTGCTCAGCTAAGGTCATAAAAAGGTCTCTTTGAGGAGATTTTTAAGCTGACATGCACAGAGGTAAGAAGCTATTCATAGACAAGGGAGCAGCATTCCTAATTAAGAAGGAAAAAGTAAGTTGCCATTCAAGAGAGTTTTGTAATTTCTGTAAATGCTTGTCCTGAAAGCTCAAACTGTTTCACCTGAATTAAGATGATAATCATTTGAGTTGGGAAAAACTAAGAAAAACATAATTATATAATATAAAAAAATATGATTTTTAAATGTTGGACAGTAAACCATACATTTAATTATTTTTCATCTCAATTTGTACTGGAACATGCAGTATATTAAATATCACATAGGTTTACACTGATGCATGTCTTAATTACAACTAATTAAAATGCTTCTTGTGCTTAATAAATATAATTTAATATGTTTTGCATAATTTACATTAACATATTATGCAGGACATTATTTTTGAAGACACACAGCTTACATCTAAACAGTGCTTATGATTTTCCATATTCAATTTGTACTTTAGTCATATTATTATTTTTATTTTGCATGTGAGGAAACTGAGGTAGACAAATATTATGCAAATTATTTCACGGTACAGAGCTAGCAGGTGGCAAAATAAAGATTTAAACCATGGAGGACTGGCTTCAGAATCCATGTATGTAATACTCATTTAGGCTGCATTGCTTGAATTTTTGTTTCAGTTTATATTTAACCAAATATAAAAAGTTCATAAGGAACTTTTTTGCTTTACATATCATCTTGTATTTTGACTATATTTTTCATCAACAAGATGAAAACTTCAAAGGAATGGTCGTCTGGTTTACAGCCAGTTCATCTTCAATTCTCCCAAGCCAAATGAAATAATTCTTACATTGCACAAGTTTTTAAAAATGCAAATCCTTCCAGACAAGTGAGGGTAAATTTATCTTGCAGGCAAAGCAGACATGCATTGGCTTTGATCCTTTGAAGAAAATATTGAAGACAAAAAATTACAAGTAAAGCAATGAAGGATTTGGAAAGTGGGCTTTATTCGACATGGATAGAGATAAACAAAATGGTAGCATGATCCTGGGGAGGCCTACCTCATTCATTTCCCTCTTTCTCACTTCATGATTTTAAAATTCATTTTCCAAGTTGATTTTTCTATTTGTCTTCCATAACCATTTCTTTACAACATTAATATTGAGCTAGACTTGAAGGTACACATTGTCGGAAGACCTAGAAGATTGTTGGAAACCATCTACATAAAGGAATATAATAAATTGCAGTAGAAGGTAAAAATAAACTTTGCGTGTTATTCTTTTTGCATTATATAGATGATAACAAATAAAACATAACAGCACTATTGAATACATGGGGAATATCCTCTTATATATTCTTTCACTGAAATTAAAAAGATCATCCTTCAGAGTAATTGAGCTCTTCTCACTGAAAATGGATGTTGTTATTTATAAATATGCAGAATAACCTCTGAAAATAATTCTTAGAAATACTGTATGTCAACATATGTCAAAGGACCTTGATATGGTTTGGCTGTGTCCCCACCCAAATCTCATCATGAATTGTAGTTCCCATAATCTCCAGGTGTTGTAGGAGTTCATTGAATCATGGGGGTGGTTACCCTCATGCTGTTCTTGTGATAGTGAGCAAGTTCTCACAAGATCTGATGGTTTATAAGGGGCTTTTCCCCATTTGCTTGGCACTTCTCCGTCCTGCCATTATGTGAAGAAGGACATGTTTGCTTCACCTTCTGCAATAATTGTAAGTTTCCTGAGACTTACCCAGCCATGCTGAACTCTGAGTCAATTAAATCTCTTTATAAATTACCCATTCTTGGGTATGTCTTTATTAGCAGCATGAGAAGAAACCAATAGCGGCCTCATGCTTACCTCCATGCACACTAAATTTAAAGATCTTATCTTTATGGTAACTTTTCTGTTTTCCCTATTCTTCCCACTAAAACTTTGAAAATATAAAGTCTAAATAAACTAAGAACTATGGCTTAGTGTTATTTTCCTTTAAAATTTTATGTAACTGCTTTGTGTATTCTACATGCAAATTACAGGATTTTTTTGTATGATTCTCTCAACATCCATGAATAAAATTTGAAGACCTATTTGCTTTTAGTTTAGAGGAAACAAAATAGAACCTTATTGAAATTTACTGTTGGTCTTAGAAAAAGTTAACAAGGTGAATTGATTGTGCCTCTGAGAAGATAAGATTTTATTGTTGTTAGTATTAGATTCTCTAAATTTAAATGTGTTTCTTCATCAATGATAAGTAAATATGTGGAAAGGAAAAATGTTAGCAGTGTCTTAGTTCTTTCAATTCAGAGCTGCTTCACTTAAATCTAGTTTTGTTCAAAATAAAACAATGGATACCTAAATTTCTTAGGCTAAATAACAGTATAAAGTCACACTTTTAAACAAATCTTGTCAGTGAATGTCAAAGTCTTGATTATAATTCAGCCACATTTACTGATTGTAAATAGAAATGTTTAAAATATAATAAACACTTATATACAAACACAATATAAAAATAACCAAAAATACTTCTTTTTGCAAAATCCTAAAGCTGTTTCATTCAGGCAATTTCTACTTCCATATAATCTTTGCTATGTCAACCTATGCTCCAGAGAATTTTTTCGTTGTATGAATGCCTTTGTGTTGGCATATACTCTTTGAATAGAGATTTATGCTACACTCATTCTGACAACATTTTGTTATTAGCAGAGAAAAGGCAAGTATTGTTATGGTATATTTGATTGCATTAATATTAGAAAGAAGAAAAAATACCACTGAAAGAAGTCACATTTGAAATGAGCTTTTTGAGCTTTTTTGTAGTCATTGCTTAAATATATATATATATATATATATCTATATCTATATCTATATCTATATATATATATATTTTATTTTATTATTTTATTTTTTTTTTTTTGAGATGCAGTCTCACTCTGTTGCCCAGGCTGGAGGGCAGTAGGACGCGATCTCAGCTCTCTGCAAGCTCTGCCTCCCAGGTTCAAGCTATTCTCCTGCCTCAGCATCCTGAGTAGCTGGGACCACAGGGGCATGCCACCACGCCCGGCTAATTTTTATATTTTTAGTAGAGATGGGGTTTCACCATGTTGTCCAGGCTGTTCTGAAACTCCTAACCTCAAGTGATCCACCCACGTTGGCCTCCCAAAGTGCTGGGATTACAGGTGTGAGCCGCTGCCCCTGGCCCTAAATAGATTTTAAATAAGTTTTCTGGATGCACACACTAGTAAACACAAATGCCAAAGACTTGCCTTCCAATTCTCTGTCTACCTCTAACTCAGGCTGTTGTCTTGGCACAGTTAAACAACTTTTCTAGCCTCAATATTTTCATCTTCAAAATCAAAAATAAAATGTATTACATATGGATCTATGACAAATAGTGATATATTCCATGTGCACGTTATCATTAAACATGAATTAACCAATATTTAAATCTTTTTTTTTTTTTTTTTTTTTTTGAGACGGAGTCTTGCTGTCGCCCAGGCTGGAGTGCAGTGGCGCGATCTCGGCTCACTGCAAGCTCCGCCTCCCGGGTTCACGCCATTCTCCTGCCTCACCCTCTCGAGTAGCTGGGACTACGGGCACCCGCCACCACACCCAGCTAATTTTTTGTATTTTTAGTAGAGACGGGGTTTCACCGTGTTATCCAGGATGGTCTCCATCTCCTGGCATGATCCGCCCGCCTCGGCCTCCCAAAGTGCTGGGATTACAGGCGTGAGCCACCGTGCTCGGCCTATTTTAATCTTTAAAATGAAAAATCTGATTGCCTGTGGATCTATGACAAAAGAGTGATATATTTCATAAATACTTTAACTAAAAACATATGAATGAATTAATATTTTAGTTTACTACCAAGGTAAAGAAAACAAATGTAGTATTGTTTCTTCATCTCTGGGTTACCACATTGGAGAAAAAAGATGAATATGAATTAATATTTGAAGAAATATTTCTCTTAAGTCTCTGTTAGGTAGCACGTAAGGACATACTCCTGGTTCTCCTTTGGAAAATGTAACATTTGCATTGGTTGATGTGACCTTCTCCTTACTTTCCAGTGGCTTCCAACTCGTTTCTGTACATTGCGTCTCTCCAGACCACACAGCTCTCTTGTGTTACTGTGAGAATGACAACACCTCTGTTGCAGCATCATTAGCGATATCCCACAGAGGAAAAGCACTGGTAACACGCAGCAAAACCTGTATATTGCTCAGGTAACGAGAAAATAATAAAAGATGGAGAGAACAGGAGAAAAGGAAAGTAATGTCTTCAAATGTAAGAAGATCTAATTTTTATACCCACAGTTCAGACACATAATGAAGCATACCACGAATAAAGAGAATTCAATAAGACCAGGATCCTGCATTACAGGTAAAGGAATAAGTATTAGACTTAAAATTTATTTTCCCAGCTACTCAATCCCTTAAATAGTACTTTGACAATGGAGAAATCAGTTTGCAAAGGCAAACCAGTTTCAAAATATTGGTGAAAGAAGTATTGAAGATAGTCTAACATAAAAATCACTGGAGGATAGGCTTACTGAAAAATAAAGCAGAATGCCTTTCTAATATGTTGTCATTACTGAACACTTACTATATTTATCCACCTGCCAGAAATATGCTAAGCTGAATACACCTAGAGAGAAATGAGTCCTATTCCTAACCTTAATATGTTCCATCTATTTATTTAAGGAAATGTGTGCACTATATTGCCTATAAAAGGCAGTCAGGAAAATACAATGTAGACAGTTACTACTTCATATCTAGTCATTTCATCCTCAGATACAGTATAATGTAAGGATAACTTCTTAAATGAGTTGTTGAGTAGACTGAATTTACTCGGTTGCTACCATAACCTGTAGCTAGTGACCACGTGAACCCTAAATAAAACCAGAATTTGTTGTCCACATTTCTTATCTCATTTACCTGTTCCTCCTTCCTGTTTTCCATTTACATTTTCTTATAACTTAAAACCATCATTAGTCCCAAAAATTCACATTGTAGACTGTGAATTTTGATCAATGAAATGAAAATTCTTAGAAGAAAATTATAAAAATGAATAATATTCAAGAAATGAATACTTTTTTCCCAGAACACTACTTTTATACTGGTAAAAGAGGGCATTGAACTAAAATGAGTGGAGCCTAATAGAGAAGCTATGCTACCTACTCTGCTTGTAGTGAATGTCTGCATTTCAGTAGCTTAACAAAATCAAAGTTACATCTTACTCATATCAAAGTACGATATGGTTATTTCTGATCAGTAAGGGGAACGGGGACTGGCATTGCTATAAAAATAATAAAAAACCAAGGACCCAGCTGACAGAAGCTCTGTAAATCCACATCCAATTGGTGGAATGAGAGAGATACTGGATACGATTGCATAGAAGACGTTTGCACAAGACCTGGAAGCTGTACTTATCACTTCCGCCAAAATTCCATTGCAGAAACGCTGCAACATGGTCTCCCCTAACTGCAAGGAATCCTGAGAGATATAATCTAGCTATGTTTTCAGAATAGAGAGGAGATGAATTTAAAGAGGAACAATCAGCATTTCTTCCACAGTCTGTCCTCCTGGTCAATAAAAAATCATTTGCAGTCTTATTTAAACTCACACACTATATTCTCTTGTTACCTCGAAAAAGAAAACCAATGTCTATCCCAGGTACTCCTATATCTCAAAGTGCAGTATTTCAGTTAGAGCATACTATTTATGTTCAAATTTGGTATCACATGGTTTGGAAACTTATACACTAAAAATAAATTACCTGCCCCTTACCCAACTCCCACAATGTGCAATGGTAAACTAAGGACAACATAATCTTGGTAAAAATAGCCTATGTTAAAATAAAAGAATAAGAGACATACAGTAGTCATACATACATACTGGTCCCTGGCAATAATGAACTCCTTCTGAGTCCCTGCGCTAAGAAAGGAGGGATTTATTTGATTAGCCTCAGGATCTCTGGCATTCTTTGTAGGCATTTGATTCCAATCTTTAGGAGTTTCTTCGTGTCACAATATCCTTGATGATTACTTCTGAATTGGGCACTGAGGAATATATCCTGTGTGGGAGAGGGGTACTTCCTTCTGTTCCAAAGATTTAGGTACCTAGGAAGGTTTTAGAACTGCAGGACATTTAGATGAGGTTTTTGTTTCTTTTTTTCTTTGCCAATTTTTATTCTCTGCAGAGCTTAATAGACTTCTGATCCAGTTGCTATTAGTCAATTACATGTCAGTAAACATACCAAAATTTTCTTCTAGTTTAAATTTCAAGTCTGGCTTTTTTTAATTCTCATGCAAACTGAAATAATTAGCATGGATGGGAAGAAAAGTTTCCTAATTTAATATTTACCAAAAGATTGATATGCTCTCTTTAAGATATCTTAGTGGATCTTTGCCATGCAAATCCCTTTTCTAGTAATACCTCTTACTGTTTAGTAACTGGAAGTTTTAGGCTTACCCAAAACTGTGTGGCTTCAAATTTCTCACCACTATTTTTTTCTACCTCTGTTCTGAATTAGTCAATTATTATCTCTTTTTAATTTTATTTTTAATTTCACTACATATTCTCATTTATAAATGGGAGCTAAATAATGCATACACATGGTCATAGAGTATATAATAATAGACTTTGGAGACTCTTTTCTCTTTCTTAATAACACCTTTCTGAAACATTAAATAAAAGTTAACAAACATGAACCTTGTTACCTTTTCCAACTACTTCCCTAAAGCTACAGACTTAAGTAGGACATGGTTTGTCTTCAGAATTATTACAGATAGCTTTAGTTTTCTCAGATATTTTGCCACTAAGTAATAAAGGTCTTCAACTTTTCAATCTGAAGTTGCTAATCCCTAATCTTGTGCAACATAGCTGCTAAACTAATGAGACCACTGCTCCCCCAATCATTTGTTCTACATATTTATGAATTAGGTGAAAGCTATCTGATATTAAATCCCAACATTTTTGAGGCATAGCAGACTACAGACAAGTCTATATGATAGCCTTATAACATTCGATGCTAATATATCTGCTTGTAGATTGGCTGGTTTTTCTCCATGCAATGCATAATTTCCTCTAGCTCTTTTTTGGGGGCTCCAATTCCCCTAGGTTAGGGCCTCTTCATTCTAACTATGAAAATCTCAGAAGAGAAAAAGGAAACAAAGGAGGCACCGATGATTCCTTAAAACCTTGGACAGGAGTGATACTCGCCTTTCTCATAGCATTCTTTGCTAAGGACTAGTAATAAGGCCACACATATAGGTAAGGAAAAGGTAGGCTAGATAACATAATACCAGATTATGTGTCTTTTCTATGGAAAGGGATACGACTCTGGAACAATTGCTGACTCCATTTTTTATGGACTGAATTATGTTTCCCCAAAATTCATATATTGAAATACAAATTTTGAGTACTTAGAATGTGACTGTATCTGAAGATACAATCTTTAAGAGGTAATTATGGGCTGGGTGCGGTGGCTCACGCCTGCAATCCCAACACTTTGGGAGGCCGAGGCGGGCAGATCATGAGGTCAGGAGATTGAGACCATCCTGGCTAACACGGTAAAATCCCATCTCTACTAAAAATACCAAAAAAAAAAAAATTAGCTGGGCGTGGTGGTGGGTGCCTGTGGTCCCAGCTACTCGGGAGGCTGAGGCAGGAGAATGGCGTGAACCCTGGAGGCGGTGCTTGCAGTGAGCCGAGATCACGCTACTGTACTCCAGCCTGGGCGACAGAGAGAGACACCGTCTCAAAAAAAAAAAAAAAAAAAAAAAAAGGTAATTATGGTAAAATGAGGTCATTAGGGTGGGCCCTAATTCTAATTCAGTACAACTGATGTCTTTATTAGAATTGCAAGTTTGGGCATCAAGAGACACACTCACGCGGGGAAGAACACGTGAAGACACAGGGAGGAGACAGGGTTTACATAAAGTCAAGGAGAAGGGCCTGAAACATTCTTCTTTCACAGTCTCGCATAAGGAACCAACCCTGCCGAAACCTTGATCTCAGACTTCCAGCCTCAAGAACTGTGAGAAAATAAATTTCTGTTGTTTAAGCCATTCAGCTTGTGGAACTTTTATATGATGACTCTGGCAAACTAATATGGCATTACACACAGGGGATAAGAAAATAATCCAAATAAGTATATGTATCAACTACCATAAGAGCAGATTGAGTTCCTATCCTAAAGGAAAATACTACTATTAGATAAATTTTAGAAATGTATCTAATAAAGCTATAACAATCGGTAAAGCTCATAAATTTTCTTACTGTGAACTTATATATGAATTTAAAATGGAAAGGTATTATGTACTAATTCTTGTCCCGATCAGAAGGTTTACCTGTACCCCTCAAATAACTATCACCAGAATGAAGGCAGCAGTTACATGAAGAAGCACAAAGAACCACCACTAAAGATCTAATGGTACCCAAATCCCTTTTAAAGTATGTCTGTGTCTATATTGGTTAACCTTTTCTTATCTGAAATACAAATGCCACATGATCTCACTTATAAGTGGAAGCTAAACATTGAGTACAGATGGACACACACAAAAAGAACAACAGACACAGGGGTCTACTTGAGAGAGAAGGGTGGGAGAAGGGTGAGGGTGGAAAAGATACCTATTGGGTACTATGCTCACTACCTGGGTGATGAAATCATTTGTACACCAAACTCCAGTGACACACAATTTACTTATGTAGCAAACCTGCACAAAACAACCCCCTCATCCTAAAAATAAAAGTTGAAAAAGAAACAAAACAAAATAAATCCTGTACTGAAATTTCCCAAAGCTGTTGCATTATAGGGAAATGGCCATTTTTCTCAAGTTTTATATCAGTCATTGTCTAGCTAAACAATTTTTAAAAAATTGACACAGAGGGAATTTCTGCATTTAAATAGGTGGTGAAGAGCTTGAGAGCTATATAAGAGCTGATAAAATAATCTAGAAGAAAAAAGACACAAGACCCTACTAGTTTTGCCCCTTCATGAGAGGCAAATGAAAATAATGGTGTTTCTGTGTTCCAGAAGTCTTGATCAACTGAAAGAAGCTTAATCTGCTGATGAGAGTGGGAGTTGAAATTACAAAGGACAAATAAAGGCTGCCAGAAAAGTTAGCTGATGTAAAAAGGGAAATGGGATACATTGGCCTTCAATATTTTGCTGACATCCTCCAGTAAAAATTAAGTTGATACTGGAGTCTGGGAAATAAAATATTCAGTAGTTGAAAACATCTCCCTCTCCATTATAACAAGCAGATTAGGGAAGAGAGGAGCCAAAGTCTAACAATGGAAATGCTCTCTCCTCTTTTACTCTTTGGTATCTATGCTCATCATTTTACTCACATTAAGAAACAGCATTCTGCCCTGGCACACAGTGGCTCAGGCCTGTAATCCCAGCACTTTGGGAGGCCAAGGCGGGTGGATCACGAGGTCAAGAGATCGAGACCATGTTGACCAACATGGTAAAAGCCCATCTCTACTAAAAATACAAAATAAAATTAGCTGGGATTGGTGGCACATGCCTGTAGTCCCAGCTACTCGGGAGGCTGACGCAGGAGAATCGCTTGAACCCAGGAGGCAGAGGTTGCAGTGAGCCGAGATTGCGCCACTGCACTCCAGCCTGGGAACAGAGTGAGATTCCATCTAAAAAAGAAAAAGAAAAAGAAAAAGAAAGAAACAATATTCTTTCGTTTGACATGAGTCAACTATTTATCAAATAAAAATAGATATAATCAGCTTGCCCTTTTCTTTCCCCTCCTTCTCCTTTTTCCTTCTCCTCTTCTCCTTTTCTCCTCCTTCTCTTCCTCCTCCTTCTTCTTCTTTCTTCTTTTTCTTCTTCTCTCCCCCATCAATAATGAGAACAGCAAAACTCCATTAGCCATTGCAAGAAACTCAAGATCTCTAGCACAAGGCCCAGATATATCTTCTTTCATTTTCATGATCTATGAACTTATAAAATTAGTAATTTCTAATAAGTTTTATCTAAAATAATAAGAAAAGAGAAAAAAGAAAAAAGCAATACTCATAATTGATAATAAATGTGGCTATAAATAGCTACCTAATAAAATTATGCATAGAATCCACAGTTCTTATTTCTTTAACTGGTCAGGAAGCTATCTGATATATTTAGCCTTTTTTTTTAAGGCCATTTACTCTAACCAGCAAAGAAGCAAAGAAAGACCCTTGCATACATTTTCCTTTTGTCAGTGAGACAGAAGTGTCCAAAGTATCCAGGAAGTCTTTTCAATTTCAAGTTTAATAGGACCATTTTGGGAGCCAATAAACCTGGAACAGCAGAGATCAGGTTTGACTGGGTTGGAAGCAAAAGTGCTAAAAGCGGGTTATTGGAATTTGTGATGGGAATTGAAGAAAGATGGCAGAGAAGACTCTCCAGCAATCATTGCTCTGCATAAAAATCAACTTAAACAACTGTCTACATGCAAAAATACTTTCCCAATAGCGAAGGAACACAGGTAAGAGATCACATTACCTGATTATAGCACAATATTAAGAAAATATGCATTGAAGAGAGTAAGAAGAACAGTATGACATCGTATGTGTCACCCCTCCCCCAACCATAGGGAGCACAGCATGGGAAGAGATACCATCCACTTGTGAGAGAGAGAGAGAAGGAAGCATAGGACTTTGTCTTGGACTCAACACTAGGCCCACCACAGTAAAACCCAGCACTGGGCAGACACTCATGACCCTACATTTCAGGTGAGTACAAATGGACTAACTGTTTAGAACTGACTTGGTGCCAGGAGGGATCACACAGCCCCAGGTGCCAGGCATTTTTTGAGAACTCAGCCTCTGATCTGTACCATTGCTGAGCCAATGTCAGTGGCCCTGGGCCCCAGACAGCCCTAAGCAACAGGCAGCTCTTAGTGGCTCCTAGCTTCATGACTTAGTGTCCCAGCATCACGCCTGCCTTAGTGAATCCCAGGCTCAGGTGGCGCCATGCTGACTGCATCCGTCCTAAGTTTCTAATCTGCTGCAGACAAGACTAGTTTGTGGAGAGTGGAATAAGTATCTGCTTCTTCAAATATGCAAACACTGATGGATAACCATTAGGATCAAGAACAATTAGGGAAATACAATATCACTAAACCAGCAAAGTAAAGTACAAGTAACTAAGTTAGAGACAGAGATGTATTAACATCTTGAAAAAGAATTCAAAATAAATATTATTAGGAAGCTTAGCAAACTTCAAGAAAATACACAGAAAAAAATTAACCAAAATAAGGAAAACAATGTGACCAGAATGAGAACTTTAATAGAGAGGTTTCAATAATAACTAAAAACCCAAAAATGTTGGGCCTAAGAAATACAATAAATGAAATGCAAAGTGCAATAGAGAGCATCAATAGCAAAATTTATCAAGTACAAGAAAAATATCTGTGAACCTGAAGAAAGGATGTTTGAGAATATAGTCAGAGGAGACAAGAGAAAAAAAGAAAAAAATAATAATAAAGAAATCTTACAGGATTAATGGGGCAGCATAAAAGAGTAATTTTTTTTGAGTCATAGAAGTTGAAGAAGAAATAGACAAAGGTATAGAAAGCTTATCTAAAGAAACAGTTGCAGAAAATTTTCCAAACCTGGAGAAAGATGTAACTATCCAGACATAGAAAGGTCAAAGTTCTCTAATCCTATTCCATCCAAATAAGAGTACTCTAAGAAATGACCTATAATCAAACTGTCAAACATCAAAGACAAAGAGAGGATCTGGAAGGCAGCAAAACAAAAGATAACATATAAGGGAGTTTCAATATGAGTAGCTGATGATTTCTCAGCCAAAACCTTATAGGCTTGGAGAGAGTGGAATAATATATTCAGAAGTGCTGAAGGTAAATACCAACCAAGAATATTATACTCTTCAGAAATTAAGGAGAGAGAAATAATTTACTATGAAACTTAAGTTGAGAGAATTTATCACAACCAAAATCATCTTACAAGAAATGCTAAAGGGAGTTATTTGAGCTGTAAGAAAAGGTTGCTAATGAGAAACACAAAAACATCTAAAAGTATAAAACTCACTGATAAAGTACACAGGCAAATACAGAATTATCTAACACTGAAATCATAGTATATAAATTACTTATATCTTTTGTATTAATACTATAAGACAAAACTGTTAAAATACTATTAGTTACAGTATTTTTTAGGGATATGCAATACAAAAAGATGTAAAATGTAATATCAAAATTTCAAAATGTTGGGAGGAATGAAGTAAAAGTGTAGTGTTTTTTTCAATCAAAGTTAAGTTATTATTAGCTGAAAAAAGCATGTTATTACTATAAGATGTTTATTTTAAGACTCATGGTAACCACAAAACAAAAAACCTGTAGTAGATACACACACACACACAATGTTAAATCAAAACATACCACTAGAGAAAATCACTTATCTACAAAGAAAGACAGAAAAGTAGAAAGAATAGTAAAATATACAAAAGAAATAGAAATAATAGATAAAATGGCAGTAGCAAGTCCTTATCTATTAGCAATAATCTTGAATGTAAATAGATTAAATTCACCAATCAAAAGACATAGAGAAACTGAATGAATTTTAAAGATAGCAACAAAATAACTGTATGCTGCTTACAAGAGCATATATGCCTATAGGGACACACATAGACTGAAAGTGAAGAGATGATAAAAGATATTTCATGCAAGTAGATATCAAAAGAGATCAGGATAGCTATATGTATTAGATAAAATAGGCTTTAAGTCAAACATTGTAAAAAAAAAACCCAAAAGCATCATTATATAAAGATATAAAGAGGTCCATTCATCAAGTGGATATAATAATTATAAATATATGTGAACTCATCAGAACATAATATATAAAGAAAACACAAATAGGACTGAAGAGAAAGATAGACTAAAATACAATTATAGTAGGAGACTTCAACACCCCACTTCCAGTAGTGGACAGATCGTCCAGATAAAAAAATCAATACAAGAAAATCAGACTTCAACTACATATACAGAACATTCTATCCAACCACTACAGAATTTGTATTTTTTTCAACAGCACATGGAGCATTCTCCAGGAAAGATCATGTGTTAGGATATAAAACAGGTGTAAGAGTATTAAAAGAATTGTAAAGATTGAAAATACATTAAGTATCTTTTCAACCACCATGGTACAAAACTAAAAATTAATAATTTTGTATTAATTAATCCCAAATAGGAACACTGGAAATTCAAAAAACCCAGAAAATAAATGATGGGCTCTTGAACAAGCAATGGGTCAATGAAGAAGTTAAAAGGAAAATTTTAAACGTTCTTGAGACAAATGAAAATGGAAACACAACATACACAAACCTAAGAAATACAGCAAAAACAGTTCTAAGTGGGAAGTTTATAGCAATAAACACCTACATCAAAAAAGAAAAAAGATCTCAAAGAAACAATCTAATGGTGCACCTCAAGAAACTAGAAAAAAAAGAACAAACTAAGCCCAAAGTTAGTAAAAGAAAGAAATTAATAAAGATCACAGCAAGGGCCAGGTGTGGTGGCTCACATCTGTAATCCCAGCACTCTGGGAGGCCGAGGCGGGCAGATCACAAGGTCAGGAGTTTGTGACCAGCCTGGCAAACATGGTGAAACCCTGTCTCTACTAAAGATACAAAACATTAGCCTGGTATGGTGGCTGGCGCCTGTAATCCCAGCTACTCAGGAGGCTGAGACAGAGGAATTGCTTGAACTCAGGAAATGGAGGTTGCAGTGAGCCTAGATTGTGCCATTGCACTCCAGGCTGGGTTACAGAGTGAGACTCTGTCTCAAAAAAACAAAACAAAACAAAACAAAAAGATCACAGAAAAAAAAAAAAGAAATAGAGAACAGAAAAAAAATAGAAAATATCAATGAAACTAAGAGTTGGCTTTTGAAAAATAAATAAAATTGACAAAACTTTAGCTGTCCTAGCTAACATCAGAAATACAAAGGAGATATTACAGCTAATATGACAGAAATATGAAAGGTTATGAGACTATTTTTAATAATATGTCAAAAATTTGGATAACCTGGAAGAGATACATTTATAGAAAATAAAACCTATCAGGACTGAATTAGAGAGAAATATAAAATCTTAATACATCAATAATGAGTGAGAAGATTGGATAAGTAATAAAAGGAGTTTCCTAAAAAAAAAAAAAAGCCCAGTGCCTGGTGGCTTCTCTGCTGAATTCTATCAAATATTTAAAGAGCAAATGACAATTTTTCTAAAGGTCTTCCAAAAATATATATAAAAGGTAGGAATGTGTCCAAACTCATTTTACAAGACTAGCATCACCTTGACACCAAAGCCAGACAAAGACATTGCCAAAAATATGGTTTGGCTGTGTCCCCACTCAAATATCATCTTGAATTGTAACTTCCACAATTCCCACACATAATGGGAGGAACCTGGTGGGAGGTGATTAAATTATGGGGGTGGGTCTTTCCTTCACCATTCTTGTGATATTGAATAAGCCTCATGAGGTGGTTTTAAAAATGGGAGTTTCTCTACAGAAGCTCTCTTCTCTTGTCTGCCACTATGTGAGACATGCCTTTTACTTTATGCCATGATTGTGAGGCCTCCCCAGTCATGTGGAATTGTAAGTCCAATAAATCTCTTTCTTTTGTAAATTACCCAGTCCTGGGTATGTCTTTATCAGCAGGGTGAAAGAGACTAATACAGTAAATTGATACTGGGAGTGAGGCCCAGGCTGAGGTGATCTCAGATGGAAATGAGGAACTTGTTGGGAACTGGAGCAAAGGTGACTCTTGTTATGTTTTAACAAAGAGACTGTTGGCATTTTGCCTCTGCCCTAGAGATTTGTGGAACTTTAAATTTGAGAGAGATAATTTAGAGTATCTGGTGAAAAAAATTTCTAAGCAGCAAAGCACTCAACAGGTGACTTGGGTGTTGTTAAAGGCATTCAGTTTTGTAAGGAAAGCAAAGCATAAAAGTTCAGAAAATTTGCAGCCTGACAATGGAATGGAAAAGAAAATCCCATTTTCATAGGAGAAATTCAAGCCAGCTGCAGAAATTTGCATGAACAATGAGTAGCCAAATGTTAATCCCCAAGATAATGGGGAGAATGTCTCCAGGGCATGTCAGTGGTCTTCAAGGCAGCCCCTCCAATCACAGGCCTAGAGGGCTAGGAGGAAAAAGTAGTTTCCTGGGCTAGGTCCAGGGTCCCTGTGCTGTGTGAAGCCTAGGGACTTGGTGCCCTGTGTCTCAGCTGCTCCAGCCATGGCTCAAAGGGGCCAACATAGAGCTCAGGCCATGGTTTCAGGGGGTGCAAGCCCAAAGCCTTGGCAGCTTCCATGTGGTGTTGAGCCTTTGGGTGCACAGAAATCAAGAATTGAGGTTTGGGAACCTCCGCCTAGATTTCAGAGGATTTATGGAAATGCCTGGATGCCCGCACAGAAGTTTGCTTCAGGGGTGGGGCCATTATGGAAAACCTCTGCTAGGGCAGTGCAGAAGGATTATGTGAGATCAGAGTCCCCACACAGAGTCTCTACTGGAGTGCTGCCTAGTGGAGCTGTGAGAAGAGGGCCACTATCCTCCAGACCCCAGAATGTTAGATCTACCAGAAGCTTGCACCATGCACCTGGAAAAGCCACAGACACTCAACACCAGCCTGTGAAAGCAGCCCGGAGGAGGGCTACACCCTGAAAAGCCACAGGGGTGGAGCTTCCCAAGGCTGTGGGGGCTCACCTCTTAAATTAGTGTGACCTAGATTTGAGACCTGGAGTCAAAGGAGAACATTTTGGACCTTTGAGATTTGGCTGATGTGCTGGATTTTGGACTTGCATGGAGCCTGTAGACCCTTTGTTTTGGCCAATTTTCCCCTTGGAATATCTGTATTTACCCAATGCCTGTACCCCTAGTATATCTAGGAAGTAACTAAATTGCTTTTGATTTGACAGGCTTATAGGTGGAAGGGACTTGCCTTGTTTCTGATGAGACTTTGGACTGTGGACTTTTGAGTTAATGCTGAAATGAGTTAAAACTTCAGGGGGACTGTTGGGAAGGCATGACGGGTTTTGAAATGTGAAGACATGACATTTGGGATGGCCAGGGGTGGAATGATATGGTTTGGCTGTGTCCACCCAAATCTCATCTTAAATTGTAACTCCCACAATTCCGAAATGTCATGGGAGGAACCCAGAGGGAGGTGATTGAATTATGGGGGTGGGTCTTTACCAGGCTGTTCTCATGATAGTGAATGAGTCTCACAAGTTTTGATGTTTTAAAAAAAGGGGAGTTTTCATGCACAAGTTTTCTTCTCTTGTCTGCCACCGTGGGAGACATGCCTTTCATCTTCTGCCATGATTGTGAGGCCTCCCCAGCCACATGGAACTGTAAGTCCAATAAACCTCTTTCTTCTGTAAGTTGCCCAGCCTCAGGTATGTCTTTATCAGCAGCATGAAAGCAGAGTAATACACAGGTCAATGTTCCTAATGAACATAGATGCAACAATCTTCAACAGAATATTGCCAAAACAAATCTGGAAGGACATAAAAAGACCATTCACATAAGATCACAATGTATGAATTTCAGGTATGCAAGGAATCGTTCAATATTTGTAAAACAACATATGTAATACATCTCATTAACACACTGAAGGACAAAAATCATATGATCATTTTAATAGATGCAAAAATCACATTTGATAAAATTCAACACTCTTTCAATAACCTCTCAACAAATTACGTATAGAAGGAATGTACCTCAAGATAATAAAGATCATATATGACAAATCCGCATATAACATCATATTCAATGAGAAAAAGTTGAAAGCTTTTCTTTTAAGATCCAGAATGAGACAAAGATGCCCACTCTCACCACTTCTATGCTATATGGTACTGGAGGTCTTAGCCAGAAAAGGTAAGCAAGAGGAAGAAATAAGAGTTGTAAAGCAAAAAGAACTGGAGGCAAGTCTCAATCAATTGAGAAGTTTATTTAGCCAAGGTTAAGGACATGCCCAGGAAAGAGATCTGTGCCTCTCTCCAAAGATGATTTTGAGGGCCTCAATATTTAAAGAGGAAAAGTAGGCTGGAAGGGAAAGAGGAAATGTGTAGTAATTTACATGTTATAAGGGAAAAGGAACGAGTAGGGGAATAACCAATTATTTATTCATCTAGTGTTTAGTGCTCAATAAATCAGCACTTTACATAAGATAAGCTGATCATAGGGTAACTACCTGTGGAGATATTTAACCTTTTATATATAGCTCTCTGCTTAGGAACAAAAGGCAGTTTCTTGCTTGACTCAGCTTTCAGCTTAATTTTTTCCTTCTTTATAGTGAATTGGGGTCCCAAGATTTTATTTTCCTTTCACAAAGTCACTCAATTTTAAAGGAACATGTTAAATTGTCCCTGTTTGCTGGCAAGATGATAATATGAATAGAAAACTCTAAAGACTTCATCAAAAATCTGTTAAAACCAAAAAGTGATTTTGGTAAAGTTGCAGGATACAAAATACATACGTAAAAATCAGTAGTGTTTCTATATGACAGTGGACTATATGAAAAGAAATTCACAAAAATTATATTTATCATAACTAAAATGATAGATAGGAATAAATTTAACTAACGAGATGGAAGATCTCTGCACTAAAACTATAAAACATGGATAAAAGTAATTAAGACACAAATAAATGGAAAGATATACATTGTTTATGGATTGGAATAGTTAATATTGTTAAAATGTCCATACCACCCAAAGCAATCTACAGATTCAATAAAATCTCTCTCAAAATACCAAGGACATTCTTCTCAGAAATGGAAACAACAATTCTGCAATTTGTATAGAACCACAAAATACCCTGAATAGCCAAAATAATCTGAACATAAAGAACAAAGATGGAGACATTATAGTACCTGTCTTCAAAATATACTACAAAAATGCAGTAACTAAACCAGCATGGTACTGATATAAAAACGGACACAGAGTAGCAGCCAGTGAAGTCTAGGCGTTGCTGGGTCTTCCTCTCCTCTGCCTAAGGCTTTTGCAATATACAAAGGACTCTTTCCCTGGCTCTTGCTAGGGGCTCTCCCATTTGCCTTATGTGCTCCAGGGCCAAAATGTGTGAGGACAACTGCCATAGGTGAGCAAGCCACTGAGAACAACAAAACAGAATAAAAAGCCTAGAAATAAATCCACATATCTTCAACTAACTGATTTTTGGCAAAGGAGCCAAGAATACACAATGGAGACAGGACAATCTCTTTAATAAATTGTTTTAGAGAAACTGGATATACTCATGCAGAAGAATGAAATTAGACCCCTATCTCACACCATATACAAAAATAAACTGAAATGGTTTAAAAATGTAATGTAAAGCCTAAAATGATAAAATGCTAGAAGAATACATAGAGGAAAAGCTCCATGATGTTTGCTGGGCAATGATTTTTTTAATACAACCCTAAAAACACAGGCAACAAAAGCAAAAGTAAATAAATGGTATTACATCAAACTAAATACCTTCAGCCTAGCAAAGAAAACAACCGAGTGAAGAGACAGTCTACAGAATGGGAGAAAATAGTAGCAAACTCTACAACTGATAAGCAGTTAATATCCAAAAATATATAAGTAATTCAAACAAATTAATAGCAAGAAAACAAATAATCTGATTAAAACACGGGTTAGGACCTAAAAAGATATTTCTCAAAAAAAGACACATAAATGCACAACAAGTATATGAATAAATGCTCAGCATCATTAATCATCAGGGTAACGGAAGTCACAGCTGCAATGAGATATCCTTATATTTATTAGAATGCCTATCATCGAAAAGACAAAAATCAAGTATTGGTGAGGATGTGGGAAAAATATTTTTGCACATTGTTGGTGGGAATGTAAATTAGTACAGCCATTATGAAAAATAGTATGGACTTTCCTCAAAAAATTAATATTAGAACTACCGTATAATACATCAATCCCACTATTAGTAGTAGGACTTATACATATGTTTATTGCAGCACTATTCACAATTGCAAGTAGACAAAATCAATCTAATTTTCCATAAATGAATGAACGGATAATGTAGGATGTATACACAATGAAATACTGTGTACTATTAAGCCATAAAAAATAAGAAAATCTTGTTGTTTATGTGAAAATGGATGAAGTTGGAGGAATTTATGAAATGAGCCAGTTGCAGAAACATAAATCATGCATGATCTCACATATTTGGAGAATACAAACAAGTTGATCTCAGGGGCTGGAATGTTTGGTAGTGGGAGTGAAGAGATAATGCTCAAAGAAAAATAAATATAATTAACAAGAGAAATAATTTCAAGAGATCTATTTTATAACCTGGTAATTATAGTTAATAATTTTTCATATTGAAAAATAAGAGAGTGAATAAAAAGTTATGTTACCACAAAAGTAACAACCATGTTAGATAATGCGTCATGTTGTACAAGGTAAATACATACATCATTATCTGTCAATGTAAAAAATAAAAAAGTTAAAAAAAAGTACTAAAATGTTATTAGGTACAATAGTGAGATAGACAACAATACAGTTGAACTATTCCTGAGAAATGAGAATTAAGGTGGATTTCTATCCCTACCACTGTTTGTGATATAATTTTTGACTGGCACGAAAATAATAAATTTGACAGATCCCAATAGCTACTAGGTGCCAGGAACAGTGTTGAATTACTTTAGCAAGGATGCCATATCTCTGGCCTCAAAGATGGTTATAGTTAGGATCTCACTGTAGGAGTCATCTGATTTTTTACCAAACAGATCATGTAAAAGAGCAGTGTGATAAGAACATCACTTTTGCATCTTTCAAATCTTTAACAGTCTCACAGATCTCCGAAAATTTCCAGAAATGTGGCATTTCTTTGGTTTAACATTTTAGTATGCGTGGATGGTCTCATCCATACAAGTTTCCACTGGATCCTTCAGGAATAATAGCCCTCACTTTAAGAGTCAGAGAACCAAGCTATAGATTATGCCATTTGACAGATGTATCTATTTTAACTTTTCCTTCAATAACTCAAGAAATAGCTTCGCATAGTATTTGTGGAATTCCTGGGCCTTTTGAAAGATAAACCTGAGCCCAAACTTTGTGATCTCAGCTTTGTAAACTCCCTTTCTGACCAAAAAGAACTAGTTAGAACCAATATCTAAACATCTTCCCAAGATGTGTGTATATTAATTTCCTAGTATATAGTCATCCTGACAAATGGGCACAGTTCTCTTAGGGCAGGTTTTGTAAATCACATTGTTCATCCTTAAGAACAGTGGTTCTCAAACTGTAGCACACTTCAAGATCACCTAAAGGGATTTTTAAAAGATTACTGGGCCCAAACTCTGAGTTTCTGATGTAGTCGGGGGTGTAATATTTCACGAGAATTTCTCTAGTCCATTTCCAAGTGATGCTAATGTTGTTGAACAAAGGACCATATTTTCATAACAACTGCTTAAGAAAATCAAACCTGCCTTTAGTTAATGGGGTTCTGAGTCTATGAATTTCTTCAAATTTAGCAACTGGGAAAAAGCTATTGGCTTTTGATTTGAAGTTTTTAAGAAGGAAGTAATTTTTTATGTTGTATAGATAAAATATTACTTTCATAGACTATTTTATTATCTATCTATTTATTTATTTATTTGAGATAGTGTCTTGCTCTGTAACCCAGGCTGGAGGACTAGAATGCATTGGCTTGATCATAGCTCACTGCAGCCCTGAATTCCTGGGCTCAAATGATTCTCCCAAGTAGTTATGACTACAGGAATGTATCACTACACCTGGCTAATATTTTAATTTATATTTTCATAGAGACCAGGTTTCACTATGTTGCCTAGTCTGGTCTCAAATTCCTGCCCCAGTCTCCCAAGTTGCTGGGATTACAAGTGTGAGCCACCACACTCAGCCTATTTTAAAAAAATTTCTGAGGATCCAGTGTCCAATTATTCATACCCACAATCCCTGTGGTTCAAATCATACTGCTTACTACTTGAAAAAGAGTATACCAATTTGACAGTTCTATTGAAGAGAGGCTTTATTTAATTCTGAATAAATTGCTCCTGTGTCCATAAAATAGCACTAGATAAAATAATATGTCTCTTTAGAAAATGTCCCCACATATATCTAATGTGCATTTCTTCACAATATTAATAAAGCAATGAATACCTTTATGTTTTTCTTTTCTTTTTCTTTTTCCCTTTTTTTTTTTCTTGAGACTGAGTCTTGCTCTATTGCCAGGCTGGAGTGCAGTGGTGCTGTCTTGTCTCACTACAACCTCTGCCTCCCTGGTTCAAGTGATTCTCCTGCCTCAGCCTCCTGAGTAGCTGGGACTACAGGCTCGCACCACCATGCCCAGCTAATTTTTGTATTTTTAGTAGAGACAGGGTTTTACCATGTTGGTCAGGATGGTCTCGATCTTCTGACCTCGTGATCCACCCGCCTCAGCCTCCCAAAGTGCTGGGTTTACAGGTGTGAACCGCCGTGCCCAGCCATGTTTTTCTTCAGTTCTTCTTACTGCAGAGGTATCAACTTTGCCCTTGAACTCTCTTAGAACTCTGATATTTAAATTTGGCAGTACATTGGTGTTAAGTGTCAGTCTTTCAAAGAATCCAAACTATATCTAGGCAAGATTTTGATTGATTACCAGAAAATATTCTGATTTTCCAAGCTGATATTGTTTTATCATTAAAAAATTATGAAGCTCATAATTAATTTTGTGACATAAAAGTCAAACATTAGATAAAGCTAAAATATTCCATTGATTTAGGGGAGTTAACATGAAGCTTCTAGATATATGCTTATAAATAAAAAACTGAAAATGAACAAGATGAATATATAATTATTGGTCATGAAAACTGATTTGTGCTAAAGACATGTGGCATTTACTTTTCAACAATAATTTCTTGTAAAACTCATTTGAAATTTCTGGAGAGCTACTTTATATCTGAAATAGTGAGCATTTTCCGAATTTTGTAAAAGGAATTATAGTTTATTATGTTTTCCTAAAGATCTTAACAAAATAATATATAGACTTTTAAATTGTCATTAAATGAGACTTTCTCAATTTTATTTGTGGTTTAATGTTGCATAAATTAATATTGGGTTTCCAAAGAACTTAAAAAGAACTTTAAAAATCTACTAAAAGAGATGATCTTTCTTTACCTATCAATATACTGAAGAGTTGTAATACCCTGAGGGTTGTTTGACAGATAAGTAGAACAGCTGCCAGAGGGAGAGAGGACTTCAAAATAAGGTCTTGAAAAACAATATTTTTAAATGCACAATTCTAATATTTTTAGAAGATCCAACCATTGGAATAGTTCATGTAATAAAAATTTAAGCTAAAACTGAAGGTAATCAAATGTAAATCTAATGAAATTCATTTTGGTAATGGAATGGAGCACATTAGACTATCTAAATTACATTTGCTTCTTTGCAATCATTCCTGAAACCATTATGGTAGGTAACCTAATGTTTCCAAAAATCTAGCTACTCTTTATATGAAATACTTCGAAACACAAAACCTATAATAGCCTAAAGCTCAAAGTGTTAAAGCTTGACTTTCCAATTACTTTTATTTCTTCCAACACTAAAATCAATCTTCAAAGATAATTTGGGTGCCTGGAACTAATGTATATATTTCTTTTCTTATTTCTACTAGTTTATGTAATCACTGGTTTCTCTCTATCATTGTTACAATTTGGAAGGCAGTATTGATCTGATTTCCATTCTGTGTATTGAGGATACACGAAACCCTGTGTTGTAGATTCTACTTTTATCTGCAGGCACCACTTCCCTTATCGTAAAACACCAACATTCTTTTAGGAAACTCCCCTCACTCCATCCATTCTTGTTTTTCTATTGAAAGGCTTGAAGTGATAAATTGGCCACCTGGACAAGAGAATATAGTGATCCATTTGGGCTCTTAACTGGGGTTTTTCTTTTTCAGTTGAAAATCCTAATTAGAGATGAAGCTAAGGTGCTTTGTCTCTGGGATCTGCCTGCTGACTGTGATCACGTGTCCGGAAAGGCTGCTTGAAATAATGAAGACAAAACATAGAGAAGTAGAGACTATAGGAGAGAAAAGCTCACGGATGTTTGTTGAATTCATGATTCCAGTTATTCCCAAATCGCACGAGCATTTGTCCTTTCTGAGCTTCTGCCTCAGTTAGTTTGAGTTGTATTTTACTTGCAACCAAAAATACAACCAAACAGATTCAACAGGGTTGAGGTTTTTATTTAGCACTGTATTAGTCGCCCATTGCTGCTGTTATAAAGTAAAATATACTTAGTTGCTTAAAAGAACACAAATTTATTATCTCACAGTTCTGTAGGTCAGATGTCTGAAATAGGGCTCACCTGGCTAAAAACAAGGACTTGGAAGTGCTATGTTCCTTTCTGAAGGCTCTACAAAGAGTTTGTTTTCTTGCCTTTTCCAGTTACCAGATGCTGCTCACATCTCTTGGCTTGTTGCCCTATTGCATCTTCAAAGTGAACAATGGCTGATTGAGTCTTTCTCACATAGCATCCCTCTGACACTTTTGCCTGTCTCTTCCACAATTAAGAACACGTGATTAAGTTGGGCTCACTCAACTAATCCAGGATAATCTCCCCATTTCAAGGTCGCACAATTATTAACCTTAATTCCATCTGCTACTTAAATTCCCCTTTGTCATGTAATATAAAATTTTCAAAGATTGCAGGGATGAGGACATGAACTTCTTTTGAAGGGCAGTGCCTGCCATGGCACAAAGCATCAAAAAATAGAGGGAATGTAAGATAAAACATGATTTGCATATATATAATTCTAGCGTGAACAATAGCAATTTATTCAACATATTAATATTTAAGATAAATAAGAAAAATTTATATAATTCATTGTTACAAAACAATTGTAAGCGTTCACATTAGCCATTTTTTAAAAATAAAATGTTTAGGTGCATTTTGTTTTCTCCATGTCTGTGTATTTTTGCTAGTGATATTTGTTTTCTTATACATAATATGGAAGGTATGTTGAGTAAAACCCTGATTAAAAATGTCAGTCATGGAAGAAATGCTAGATATTTTCTATGACTGCTACTTATGCAATGATTGATTCCCTTTAAAAACACATTACTCCATATTGAATATTTCCAGTGATGGAGACCCCATTATCAAAGAGTTTAATAAATAGCCAAATCTGTGGGCATTCAAGAATGCCCTTATGACTCTGCTCCTGTTGGCTCTGCATGGTTTGTAATCTTTGCTAACAGACAGGGAAAGGGAGACCGATATTCAAAGCTTGTATTCAATTTCTCACAGTCACAGCTGACTGCAGCCCTGGAAGCCCATGAGAAACATGGTCTCACTAAGAGGCTGCAGCATCACTAGCTCTGCCTCTGTAATTCTTTGCTTTGGTTCAAGAGGAGAATGCAGAGGAGTTCAGGAGTAGGCGTTCTTTCCCTGCAGTACAAACAGCTTGAATTAATAAAGCTGTGTATTACTGTACAGCATAGGCACTTTCTTACCCTTTTGTATTGTTTGAAGCAACATACTTTACACAAATACATATTTTAAAAGAAGGTCAAGGTTATATTACCTCTACTGATTAATTTTGTTTCTGAGTCAGAACTTGCACAGTTACAGAAAATACCTACTCTCTTTCAGAATGACCATACTTGCAAACACAGTCAATAAGTAAGGTACAAAGAATTAGCACAAAATCTTTTGTTACATGAGTAGGAAGAACAAAAAAAAAATGTTTTGTTATGCTTAAAATTATATGCTTGTGCCATTTACATTATAAATTAAACAGTGGCTAGATTCTAGAACATTTATAAATGTATATCTTATGGGGAATCCCGAAGTCAATAAAAATATGCATAAATGGAAACCATGGCTTCTGATATGAAACAACATAATATAAGAAATATCATTATTGTATTCATGAAATCTTAGAAACATTGAATGTGCTTATCATGACTCTAATGAAACAAAAATAGCTAATCTTAATGCTGATATTTAGGAGATAATTTCAGGAAGTATGCCTTGATTTAGCAGTAGAAAACTCTGGATTTTAGCTCTGAATCTGCCATTTAAATACAATACATAATCCTATGCAAATAATGGGCTTGTAGTCTAGATGACACTGGACGATTATCAAAGCTCCTTTTTTCCTCTTTCTCTTTGCTTGCTTGTAGAAGATTTATATATTTGTGGAATACCTCTATTCTTGCATTCGAACACGTGCTTGCGCACACATAAACACATGCAGACACACACTCCTATCTCAGTAACACTTATTATTTTAAAAAAAAACTGGATTAATTTAAAATGAGTTTCTTCAAGAGACACTAGGAACTCCAAAAAAGGTAGTGGTGGGGATGGGGAAGGCAAGGGTTGGAAAAACTACCTATTGGGTACTATGTTCATCATTTCAGTAGTGGGGTCACTAGAAGCCCAAACCCCAGCATTATGCAATATATGCATGTAACAAACCTGCACGTGTACATCTTGAATCTACAATGAAAAAGAAACAGAGTTTGTTAGCGGTGACACTGTTGCTATTTGGGGCCAGGTAACTCTTTGATGAGGGTAGTAGTGAGGCTTTCCGGTTTATGGTAGAATGTTTAGTAGCATTTCTTGTCTCTACCCTCTAGACTGCAGTGGCAAATTCTGGCCAGTTATGACAACTAAAAGTGTCTCCAGACATTGTCAAACTTCCCCGAGGGAGCAAAAATAATTACTGATTCAAGAGTATTGTCTATAAAATATTCTGCTGTAAGAGAAAAAATTAGAAACTTTATGATGAAGATAAAATATCATAAGCCTTACAACACCTTGTACTTTAATTGCACGAAATCTTTACTAATACATTAATATCTACCTGACTTACCGTCCTTTTCTTTTTTTCTGGTTTTGCTTTTTATCTTTATGGAATTAAGCAGTATGACAAAATTATGACCCCTTTCATCAGTGTTTTAAGCCCCCAATAATCAATTATTCAATCATTTATGAAACTCAAATAGCCATTCTCCTTCTTTATTTCTAGTTAGATAAATACACATATAGTTTATGATTTTTTTTACTTTAAATATATGACATGTATTGCCATTTATTATGGGCCAGGGAATATGCTAAGAGATCTACATGTGTTATTATATTAAAGACTCCCCATTATCACTCTTCATTATGTCCTCTAATTTGGAATGCAACTGAAGGCCTGAAATGAATTATCTTTGATAAGGTCTCAAGGTTCTTCATGGCAGAACACAGGTTTGTACCAAAGCTGGTACTGTTTAAGAATCGGCTACATTTTTATCTTGGGTTTCACTGATCGTACACTCGTGTTTCTCCCTACAACAGTAAGCTTCATGAATACAGAATGATGGATCTTTTTAATCAGCTCTGTGGTCTCTCCCTCTCTTGCTGCCCCTAGAAGCTTGCATACAGATCCTGCTGAACAGAACTAATTTCCTCTAGCCAGGAATTACTTTGCCTCTTTTGGTCTCCAGACCCCAGAAATAATATTTTCCACTTCAGCTTCCTCACTTTCCCACACTGGAGTTAAGAGACAGAAATCACTGGATTTTGACAGCACAGCTTGGCTAAGTTATAATTTTAATTTTGTGGTGCTCCCTACTGTTGGCCTTTTTCTTTCATGCTAAAATTCTTGTTGTTTTTAATAAACTTAGCTTAGTCTGCTGCTCATTTAATCAGCACATATGGAAAACACCAGGAATCTTATTTTTAAAAATCTACTCCTCTTGACAAAAATTTAAATAACCTTGCTGAAATCATCAGTTGAAAGCATTGAGACCCTTGGGGGAAAATGTGCTGTAAGGTGAGCATGATAATGCTGAAATGCTAGAAGAAAGACAAAGGAACTCATGTGGCACAGGAGTAATCAGAGCAGTACCCTCCAGCTTGAAAACTATGAGCCAGAATTAAGTAAAAAACATCTTGCTAGAAAGGAAAAGGCATAAATCAATGTATCAGGTGCAATAAAATAATACCTTTTTAACAGTGACTTGAACAATGAAAACATATGTGATCTATCCTCATAAAGTGTTCAGAGATAAGCAGAAGCAGCGCTGGTTAATAAGCCAAAAGATATCCACAAGAACCATAGCTCATTTAATTTTTCTTCTTTGTGCCTCCATTGTATTGGCTGCTTTTAATTCCATAATTTCAAGAAGGTGGCAGCAGTTCCAAGCATCACAAACTCTAGGCATGATGAGACTCACAAAACAGCATCTAAAACCAGTAAATGAAATCCTTGTAGAACCCCAGCTTTTTATCGTAGAGGAAAATCTTTTCCAGAAACCCTGGAAGATTTCTTCTTTAATCTCATTGGCCAGAAGCACAACTGTAAGCCAGTCACTGGAAAAAGGGAATAGGAATACTGTAATTGGTCTACATAATTGGTTTATTCATGGATCAACCCCAGCATCTAACTTCCCTGACAACACTATCACATCATACATAACAAAACTGAGGTCCTGTTAGCAAAGTAGAAAAGGGAGAAATGCCTGTTGGTAGTCAATATTATTTGCCACATTTAACAAATGTAGTTAATGTAATTAAACCCAAACCATTTATATATTAAATTTGTAAGCATTAAATTATAACTTTAATCTGCAAACAATACCTCAAATTTGCTCTACTATCACAATATAGCCTGGATAGAGTTTTTTGATTATAGGCCGTAAAATACAGTATCTTGGGTTAATAAAATGATGGCTTTCTCAGTCACCAAATTATTAAACATACAGTTGAAGCTCCCTATGCCATCGGAAGAAAAATTAAATTCCTAATTATAATCAGAAAGTGGATTTCTCTGTTTCATCCCAAATTGGACTAAATCAAAATGTGAGGCGTACATCCTAGGTATTAACATTTTTTAGCATTATATTCCCAGATAATACTGTGCAGCAACCGGGTTTGGAAACCACTGCCCTAGAGTAAAGGTGCTTAACCAGTTACTTTGGATTAGAAAACGCCAGTAAGTATAGAAGAAAATGAAGAAATTTTATGTGGCCTCATATTTAACTACTTCCTGCCTTAGGCCACTAGAGATTGAAATGTTTCTTCTCCTGCATTTTTCCTTTTTTCTTCACCTCCTTTTAATATCCTCTTGCCCCGCTTACCTCTTATCACAATTGTCATTGGTTGTCTGCTCTTATTACTTCTACTATCACTATCTGACACTCCCATTAAACTCCCTATGCTAGCGTCTTAATGACTTCCCTTACATCTTCATAGGGAGCAAAGTCATTGTCACTATCAGCATACATACTGCCTTATACATGGTGTTAAAAAAATCCAAAACAGATTGTTGAGATGTATGTCATAGAGAGAGGAGGCAGGGAAATTCTGGGCAGAAGAGGGTGGGTCCTTGGGAAAGAACTCCACCCTCACACCTGGAATCATGGCCCAAATTGAGAATTTTATATCCCTGTTTTCCCACTTGAATGTTGCCTTTTCCAAAACCACCCATGGCCTGCCCCATCCCTCGTCCTGTGCCCATAAAAACCCCAGGCTCTGCCAGCAGAAGGAGGAGAGGAAGAAAAGAGGAAAAGCAGCTGGATGTTGGAGAGTACAGTTGGACATCAAAGAGAGGCAGCTTGATTTCAGAGGGATGGCTTGGTGGTGTGGCTTTTGAAGGGAATGCGCTGGCCAAACTCCAGGGGAAGATCACTTACCTGCTCCAGCCCCTTTCTAACTCCCTTTCCCACCAAGAGCCACTTTCATCAGCAATAAAATTCTCCACATTCACCACCCTTCAATTCATTTGTGTGACCTGATTGTTCCTGGATATCCAACAAGAGCTTGGGTACCAAAAGTATGGATGCAAAAGGCTGTCACACTGATCCTCCACTGAGTTGTTAATTCTTGAGCCGTCTTTGAATGGCAAACCTAAAAGAGCGCTGACGGCAATACTACTTAGGGAGCTTTGGAGATCATGAGTACTCCTCCCTAGATGCTGCTGTGGGGCCTGCATGGAGTTTTGCTCCTGCCAGCACCCAAAAGCACTCTCCCTGGCTCCTGCACCCACTCACCTGTGTGCTCCCTCCCATGAGGGGTTGAGCACAAGAGGATAGAGTGAGTGGAGTCCACCTCTGCTGGCACCAAAGTGCTGGCTAGTTCTAGTGCCCGTGTACTCCAGTTCCTGCATACAAAGGGGTCAGGAAAAATTTTCTGCTTAATTTGGATCTACTTCCTCCTATGAGTCAGTTATACAGTTAATACTGGGGACAGCAAAATTGAATGGATTTGAAATTAGCCATTGTATTGGTCTACTATCACAGTACTATAAAAAACTACCTGAGACTGGGTAATTTATAAAGAAAAGGGGTTTAATTGACTCACAGTTCTGCATTGCTGGGGAGGCCTCAGGAAACTTACAATCATGACAGAAAGTGAAGGAGAATCAAGCACCATTTTCAAAAGGCTGCAGGAGAAGGAGAGTGAGGGGGGAAGTGCCACACTTTTAAACCATCAGACCTCGTGAGAACCTACTCACTATCACAAGAACAGCTTTGGGGAAATCTGCCCCCATGATCCAGCACCTCCCACCAGGTCCTTCCTCTGACACATGGAGATTATAATTAGGCATGATATTTTGGTGAGGACACTGAGCCAAACCATATAAGCTATTTTATGAAATTAGAATTTTTGAAATTCCTAATTGCTTATATGAGCATTTTATGGAAAGTAAGATTTGGAGTGTATTATTTATTTGATTCCAAAATGGGTATGTCCTACAGTTTTAAAAAACAAAATGTTTAAAGGCATAAAAACAAATAGTTCTCTCTTTTGAATAATAACAACCTAAACCAGAGAGGCAACATCATATGTTTACCATGATTGGGACTACTGGGGCCTAGGTTTAAATCCCAGCGTTTACCATCTGTTTAAGCAGGGCCATGTTAATTAACCTCTTTTACTATTTGTTTTGGCAGGTGCAAAATAGGTACATCACCTTTTTCTCAAGATTATTATGCATATTAAACAAGATGATCATATAAGCACTATAATCATTATCTAATTATTTTCATGTTTAGAGACAAAGAGGGGGCAGTCTCCATAAAACAACAGGTTTTAATTATTATTTGATATAGACCCATTAATTTTTTTAAGAAAATTAATATAAATGTGCTTCCCAAATACAGTTAAACAAAACTTTATCAATTTTTAAATTGCAAATAATAAATATAGTTTAAAATCTCACACAATTTATGTGTGATGTTTGCCATCAAATGCTTGAGTTTAAAGGTAGAAAATTGCCACGATTATTTTCTCCCAGGAATCAGGTTCTTGATGTGAGTACTTGCAAACATGTGCATAGGATGCACAGCTTTTATTTCTTAACTGAAATAATGAAACCCACTCAGGATTTAGTCCAAGCACAGATAACTAAAATAATTCCATACAACTCTATTTGCTAAACAAAAATATAGTTCACAATTTAGCCTCATCACCCCATCTTTATAAAATTAGTATATTCATATATGATAATTGTTAGTTAATTCATACATATTAAACAATTATGATTACTATAATGTTAGTTAATTCATAAATATTAATCAGTTATGATTACACATAATTGTTTAATAAATGCAGGTCAGAATAAAATTGAAAGAAGGATTTAAAGAAACAGAGTAAGAAAGTATAATAAGCTTTTGAACAGATTGGATCACTAATCACTACTTACTCTAATTTTAGTTACCCAGTTTTGTTCCATGGGTAAGTTTCTTCTTTTCCCTATAGTAAAAGCAATATGGAGTTTTCGTATTTTAACATACAACAGCTTAAAAATTAGTATTATAGAAATTTTTCTTAATCAGATGTTACATTTAAACACAAATATAGTATTTATGGCTTTACTTCTGTATTGCTCTTTGCAAACTCATATGTTTTTATCATAAGCTAAGCAATACATATATGCCTTTCTTATTCTTAAAGAGACATTTTGTTTAGCCCTGTCACATCTATGAAGAAGGGAGGTAAATGAGACTTGGATTTGAAATATTGATGTATGTGGGTTATGGAAACGTGGAGATGGAATTTCAAACCCAGCCACCCTGCTGTCTTTTTTTCCCTCACAGCAACAGCAGCACAGGACTCTCTCAGCCTTAGGCTCTGTTACGTACTGGATGCCTGTGTCCCCCAAAATTCATATGCTGAAGCCCTAATCCTCAGTGTAATGGTATTCAAACATGGGGCCTTTGGAAGCAAATTAAGTTTAGATGAGGTCACAAGGGTGGTACCCCTGGGATATGGGTTGGATCTGTGTCCCTGCCCCAACCTTATATTGAAATGTACTTCTCAGTGTTGGAGGTGGGGCCTGGTCAGAGGTGATTGGATCATGGTGTGGATCCTACATGAATGGTATAGCACCATATTCTTGGTGCTGTTCTCCTGATAGTGAGTGAGTGAGTGAGTTCTCACAAGATCTAGCTGTTTCAAGGAGTGTAGCACCTCCAGCTTCTCTCTCTTTTTCTTTCTCTGGCCATGTGAAGATGCCTGCTTCCACTGTGCCTCTCACCACGACTGTAAGTTTCCTGAGGTCTCCCCAGAAGCAGATGCTGCCACACCTGTGAGCATAGAACTGTGGAACTGTGAGCCACTGAAACCTCTTTTCTTTACGAATACCAGTCTCAGGTATTTCTGCATAGTAGTGTGAGAATGGGCTAGTACACTCCATAATGGGATTAGTTCCCTTATAGGATGAAAAAGAGACAGGAGAGCTTTTCTTTCCATCATGTGAGGATTCCTCAAGAAGATGGTTATCTGTATGCCAGGAAGTGAGTCCTTACAAAGAGCTGAATATGCCCGCATCTTGATCTCGGTTTTTTCAGTCTCTAGAACTGTGAGAAATAAATTTCTATTGTTTAACTTACTCAGTCTATGGTATTTTATCTCAGCCAAAGCTAAGACAGGATTATACAAATGTATAATACATTTTATTTTCTTGCTTTTATAAGAGTAGGGAAAGATATCAGTTGTCCTTATCTAACCAGAATAACTATTTTTAGGGTCTTCCTGCAGCAAAAATCATTTGGGCATCATCCTTGTGTCTGTGATAATTAATAATACTTTATTAAGTTTCTCTGACTTGGAGGCAGAGTGGAATGACCTACTCTTCTGAAGATAGTTCTTGAAAGGCCTCAGGGTACCTTGACTGACAAACTAGCCAAGTCCCTAGACTTTCAACCTTTTTAAATTGATGGAGAGAAGGCTTTCCAAGCAATGATCAAGAAGCATGTCTTAATACGTGCCAATACGTTCCCATCAGAGCTAGTCTTTCCATCTTAATCACTGTAACTCAGGAGTCTGGGGAGTCCATGTTTTGCCATTTCTAGAACTCTCATTGACACTTACTGGCATTCATTTATGCCAAATTTCTGGGTTACTCCAGGTCCTTATAAATATATCTCTTGGATCAGCAATTTGATAAATGGAATTCAGCATCCAACGAGTACTGCGATCATTTGTAACAAAGCATTCTGCAGTTTATTTTCTGTAGCATCCTGGCTGTAATCCGGAGTTTAAGCCAGCAGTTTGTCATTAGGCAAAGAGGCTGTGTTCTTTTGGGATTTGGTCTAATATACAGTCTTGAATTTTTCTGGTGTGAAAGCCTGTTCCCTAAGATTTTCCTGTCAGTGCCCTTGCCTGGCAAACCTGTGAAATCTGTACTAAATTTTCTGGTTCTATTCAGCCTGGACATCTCCATAATTTCATACCTAATACCCACACATTTAAATTAAGAATCCTGCTCAATCAAAAACACCTTATAAATTTCTGGGAATCAAGAAACATCACTAGAAAAAGCCTAAACACAATCTTTCTGTGAAAACACCAAGAACTTAAGAAATACAGAAATCTGTTCTGCACGTGTGGATAGCTGTATGTCCTGCAGTCCTGACTCTGGAAGCCTGTACGAATGACTGTGACAGTAAAATCATACTGTATAAACTTGACTAGTCTTTATGGTCCTGTAAAAACATTAAAGTCCACAGCAAATTTTCTTTGCTTCCTATAAATTGTGACAACCTCTCATCATCTACTTCCCACGAAGTTGTTTCAAACCTAAGAACAGCGTTGAATAACTTGCCTTGAAGAGCTTGAAAAAAAGATTATTTTTCACCCCTTTCACCCTTTTCAAAATCATTACAGATGATTTTCTCATTCAGAAAACAATAATAAAATTTTCTCATTTTAACTATTCCTTCCTATCTTTTGATAAGAATATATATCCTTACAAGGATGGCACACTTTAACTGTTCTACAGGTTCCATATGTCTACCTACACAAAGGTCTTGTTTGTTTATTATTTTGTCCATCACATGAATTAAAATGGATACCTAATATTATTGAACTAATTGGCAATAAACTTTGGAAGCCCTCATACAAGAAAACAGATCAAAATTTCATTAACCAACTATGCAAGGAACTATTATAGATGTCTCTTCAAAATGTCTTTTCAAAAGAATGGGCACCAACATTGTAGCGTTTCAATTAAATCCCCCCTCCTCAGGCTCAAAAATATAATTTCTCATATTATGTCCAGCCTACAAACACCCTACTTTGTATCAAGTTTGAAGTCCCAAGTTATAAAATCAGAATATACAGAAAAGGCACATCCTGTGCATTAAAGAACTGAAAAGACCCTGTTGTAAACGATATTGTCTTCTAAAAGAGAGACACTGAGTTCTTCTTCCTCAAGGGAATAAGAAAGGCGTTATAACATCTCTAATTCTGATCAGGAATTATGCTGGTTGAGAGCTGGATGAAATTTAGATGTGGGTTGGTTTCACAAGAATTATTCTTGTTAGTGAAGTGTGTTTCTGCAAGTCTTTCAGTTGAGAGCCTGGAGGTCTCATCTACTTAGTCCTGAATGATGAAGGAAATTTATTTTTGCACTTAAATATTAACTATGTAGCTTTTGTTCACATCCAGCTTCAAAACTGGCAAGTGCCATGAGAAAGAAGTTGGCCCCACTTCATTCCAGTTCTGTGCAAATGGTAAAATAATTGTTAAGTTCTTAGGTCACTCAGAAGTTCAAGTCCAAAGTCTAAGCCTTTAGTTCTAAGGAATCTCATTGTCGTTTAGATTTTCTCTCTCTATAATTTTCACATCATGTCTGTTTTATCTTCAGGTTTTGGTCCTTGGAAATTCTTTTTTATTTTTTATTATTATTATTTTTTTCTTGAGACGAAGTCTCACTCTGTCGCCCAGGCTGGAGTGCAGTGGCGCCATCTCGGCTCACTGCAAGCTCTGCCTCCCAGGTTCACACCATTCTCCTGCCTCAGCCTCTCAAGTAGCTGGGACTACAGGCGCCCACCACCACACCTGGCTAATTTTTTGTATTTTTAGTAGAGACGGGATTTCACTGTGGTCTCGATCTCCTGACCTTGTGATCTGCCGCCTTGGCCTCCCAAAGTGCTGGGATTATAGGTGTGAGCCACTGTGCCTGGCTGGTCCTTGGAAATTCTTTGTTTCCTAAATTCTTGAGACTCTAGAAGATCACAAGCTACTTCAAAGAAACTTTCAACCCAGATTCTAACCTCTTATGCAGTCAGACATCAATAAATATTTTTAGAGAAAACCACCATGTGTTTGAGGATTACCAGGTCTTCAGTTTTGTCACTCTGGTTCTCCACAACCAATACAAGATTTGGTGGCAAATCTTTCTGTCAGCAGGGTGCTCATGCTCTGCCTGAGCTGAATCTCAATGCTTAGCCAAACTTCAATCCTTAGCCTTGAACCTATACCCATAATAAGAAATACTCTGGGGAAAAAGGGTCTGAATCATTAGCTAACTTTTGAGAAGTATTGTCTGAAATTTTGTCAACATAAACTTGTTTGCATCTATAATTATCTGATGAGTTTAATTAAATTATTTTAGTATTTTCCTAGCTTTTCCCACAGTCTTTACTGGGAATGTCAGTCAGCCATAATCTACTATTTGTACTAAAAAAACAGAAACTCTACCAGTGAGTTAAATTTGACAACCCAGTTGATTCACATCAATCTTACTCTATTTCTGTGTAATATCTGATACAATCTAGAAGCCTGCCTTGCTCTACTAATGCCTCCATATTGTCAAATTTTTTTCAACATTCAAACTGATTTTCTGTTTCTACTTACCCAATCGAAGTTTCTATTCCTCATCCTCTCTAATTTTTCCTTCACACACTTACTGCTAGAGATTTCATTTTGAACCATGGCTTCAAAGTCTTTTGAGACATGTATGATGCTAAATCAAAGGGTTCCATCCACATATCTCTTCTTGAATATCTCAGTTTTACTCAAAATGTGAACTTCCAAAATCAAATCATTTTTGATCTTGAATTTATTTCCTGAATCCTCTATTTCAGTGAACACTATCCCCAGAATTCTACCTTCTTATCCTACTACATATTTCCAGCCTTCAATTATTCAAGGGCCCACAAAAAGTTGAGTTTTTGATTAACTTGACACATAAGGATTAATGAGGAATCTAAGTGTATTAAATGGAACTTCAAATAATCAAAATGGAACTTAAAAGGAGTGTGTATCCTTTACAAGGATAGGGAGCACAGATTACAGCAACTATTTGTTTTCATTTTGAAGTCTTTATCTGTATTTTACCCAGGCCACAAGATCCCCAGGAACTTCCTCTGTATTTATATTGGATGTCTCTCCTGCTCCTCTGATACATGTTGAAGCAGGACAATCCCCTGACTCCTTCATGAGACTCGTGACTGGGTGCCTCATTTACTCAGCCTATTGCTATGAACTCCTTGCAGGAGGAAGTGTGCAAGCAAACTAGACAGGAGCTGGAGTGCACAAGCCCTGTAATAGGCCAGCCGCTTCAGTGCAGTGGAATCAAACTTCACTTGCACAGACCTGCTGTGTTCCACCCCTCACAGGAGGGAGTGCACAGGTGAGCGGGTGCAAGAGCCAGAGTGAACACTTTTGGGCACTGGCAGGAGCGAACTCCATGCAGACCCCGCAGCAGCATCCAGGCAGGGTGACTCCGACTCCCAAAGCCTCAGAGGGTGTGTTACAGTGCTCTTTTAACCCTGTCATCTATGGACAGCTTCAGTATTAATAGCTTAATGGGCCCTTTGCCTTTTTATGTGAGGTGGCCACCCTCCACCAGTGAGGACAAAGGGCCAGTGCGACAAACTTGTGTGTCCACACTCATGGCTCCCAAGTTCTTGTCCAGCATCCAGGAAAAATGAGGTCGCAGGAACAAATTGAAGGATGGTAAACGAGGAGGATTTTATTGCTGATGAAAGTGGCTCTCAGCAGGAAGGGGAGCTAAAAAGGGAATAGGGCGGGGAGGTAATCTTCCTCTGAAGTTCTGCCATCTCCGGCTGGATTCTTCTCTGAAGTTATGCCATCAAGCTGTCCCTCTGAAGTCAAGCCACTTCTCTCTGATGTCCAGTCATAGTCCCTGATGTCCAGTTTCTTCTCCTTTCTGCTGGCTGAGTCTGGGGCCTTTATGGGCACAGGATGGGGTGAGGTGGGGCCATGGGTTGTTCAGGAAAAGGCAACATTCGGGTAGGAAAACAGGGTTATAAGTTCTCACTTTGGGCTGCAGTTTCAGACTTTTTGGCTTGAGGGTGGGGTTTTGTCAGGGACCCGCCCCTGCTTGCCTAGAACTTTTCTGCTTCCTGTCCCTATCAATGCCATATCAAGAAATCCAAGCCACCTACTTTTCTAAATACACATTGCCAAAAACATATGACAATATATTTGGAAAAGGGAAGGTGTTAAGAATTTTACAAACTAACATGGTGAATTAGAGAATAGGAAAGTTATCATAATAATAAAAGAATAAGAAAATATGTACTGATGTTTTTACTATGCAAAAACTTTGGTAGTCCCTTTTCCCCCAAAAGATAAACATTTATTAACATCAATAGACTCAAACCCAGTGCCAGTAGTTAATTAAATTTAGATCAGCAAATGAAATGTGAGTGGTCAATATTATTTTCATTAATTTATCATATTCTACTTATGTATCAGTATTTTCTACTTAAAAGTTTAAAAATAAATATATGACTATGTGATAGGAATAACCTCACATACATCTTTGAATTTTTTGTGGAAGTACAAATACTTATAATATCTCCAGGGTGCAGAATTTAATTTTTATTTATTATTTCCATAGTAAATTGGAGTTCCAATACTTTTCATGTAGAACATTCAATTAAAACAACCCTTGTGCAATAGGGTGGGAGGTAATATGGAATTTGGCCACTTGAATTCCAATGTAATGCCAGCAGTTGGAGAAATAATCAGAGTGCTTCTAAAATTCTACTGCTTCCAACATGAGGCAAATTGTGTTAGAACATCTTTTATCACCTGGCACCCATTAAACTCTTACTCAGTTTGACAGATCAAAGTGGTAATTTAGGTAAGGTTCATAGAAACTAGTGTTAGCTCAGAGTCAGTATTTAATAGTTTTTGAAAAATTTGATTATATTTTCCTCCATTGTTCACCTATAAATATTAAATATTGCCATAATGATTCCTTAGGAAAAAGAAAGTTCAAAGTGGTGTAATATTTCAAAGTCAGTCTGAGTCAGACTCTTGAGTCAGGATCAGGTTCTTGAGTCATTCTGCCTGGATCTGAATTCAGAATTCACTACTTTTGCAATATTTTCCCTAAGTGAAAAACAACCCTTCTTAAACCTGAATTACAATTTCTATGTAATATGCTAATGCTACATGACCAGTGAATTTTTTAAATTAATTAAAATGATCTATGCAAATATTTAACACACTTAGTACATGCTAGCAAAAATAATAATAGTCCTTAATAGTAGAATCAAAATGTGACATTGAAATGTTAGTCAAAGATTTATCTTTCATATACATTTTCCATTAACATTAGCCACTTTCAGCAAAAGGCTCATCCTTTTTCTTCGCTAATTTCCTTGTCCTCCCATCTTTTGTTAGAAATAATCAAGCAGTTGCTGGGCGTGGTGGCTTACACCTGTAATCCCAGCATTTTGGGAGGCCGAGGCAGGCAGATCACCTGAGGTCAGGAGTTAGAGACCAGCATGGCCAACATGGTGAAACCCCATCTCTACTGCAAATACAAAAATTAGCTGGGTGTGGTGGCAGGCCCCTGTAATCCCAGCTACTCAGGAGGCTGAGGCAGGAGAATCACTTGAACCCAGGAGGTGGAGGTTGCAATGAGCCGAGATAGCACCACTGAACTCCAGCCTGGGCGACAGAGAGAGACTCCATCTCAAAAAAAAAAAAAAATAAAATAAAGAAAAAGAAAAAGAAAAGAAATAATCAAGCAGTATCATTTTCTACTTTGGGAAATAGTTTTTTTTTTTTTTTTTTGGAGGAAATTGAGCTGTAATTCTTTTAAGCACATGTTTCCCTATTGTGAATGAAATAATATATTTAGTGTTCAGTTCTTCTGGGTCAATGATCTAGCTATTTCTTTCTCATCTAAATTTAGCTTTTTCAATCCAAAGTTTCTCTTATCAGTCCCCTACTCCCAAAGTGTAATTTTGCATTTCCTTATAGCGACTGTTAATGGTTTCATTTGATCTCAACACTGTATTTATCTTGGGCTTTGCTCTACCTCTAAAACGCAGTGGGCTAATTTTAGGACTCTACTGAAGGGTTGAAATGTGTTATTTCTAAATATACCTTTGCAGCAAGTTTTAATGAATGATAGAATTTAGTATTCAATCTCTTTAGTTGCTTATAACCATTATTAAAATACTGTATTATTTAGAAAAGTCTTCACATTTAAAATGTTATATAAATTTTCTAAAAAGTGATATATACACCATTCAAATTTACTAACCTAAATCTTCCTGAAATGACCTAGATTATCTAGTTTTGTTATATTCTTAGTTTAAAAAAATACAATTTGATCTTTTGTAGAAATTATCATATTTATATATAGGCATTTCACTCTAAATGTGCTTTAAATGATCTTTTGAATATATACATAGATACAGGTTTTTATAAACCATGCACCTTTATGTCCACAGAGAAATGACTTTCCCCTCTTCAGTTTTCTTTCACCCTTTTGGTCAAGTTCTTATATATTTGAGCTTCTAATTGGAGAATTTTTCAGCTGTCAGCACATGAAAGGAGCTGTTGAAATGCACTAGAGCCAGCCAATTCAAACACAAGTGAAGGGGGTACTGACAATATAAATATGAGTCATTAGAAAAGTCATAAAAGCCTCAATTTAGGAAATTACTCATCATTAGGTATATATAAAAATGATATAATTAAAATAAGAATGACCATAATTGTTGAAAAATAGTACTGTGCCAAATGTGTACAGTTGCTTTGTATTTGGCAGCACTGACATTGCAATTTGGTGGTGAAAAAGATGGGCTACATTATATCATACACACATACACAGAATTACGTATAAAACAATCACGCACCAAATGATCCCTGCCACGTGTTGACATTTTGAAAGTAAAACTTTAAAAGTTTTAGCACAGAATATAGGATAATAGGCTTATCATATTCAAGTTGCTTAAAATTTCTTCAAATAACTGAAAATAGACAAACATAAAAGAAACTATTATACATGCAACTACACTGAATTGAAATATTTCTCTATCTCAAAAGTCACAGTACAATACAAATAGGAAAAATATTTTAATATGGAAAACTTCTAAAGGCAAGAAACTAATATATATAAATTTTCCTGCAGGGTGAAAAGTAAAATAAGCAGGGCGTGGTGGCTCACACCTGTAATCCCAGCACTTTGGGAGGTCAAGATGGGCAGATTATGAGGTCAGGAGTTCAAGACTAGCCTGACCAATATGGTGAAACTCCATCTCTACTAAAAATAAAAAAATTAGCTGGGTGTGGTGGCATGTCCCTGTAATCCCAACTACTCAGGAGGCTGAGGCAGGAGAATTGCTTGAACCCAGGAGGCAGAGGCGTTGCAGTCAACTGAGATCATGCCACAGCACTCCAGCCTGGGCAACAGAGCAAGACTATGTCTCAAAAAAAAAAAAAAAAAAAAAGAAAAAGAGTAAATTACATTACCTGGTATGCAACTGACAGTGAATATGAGAAAAAATGAATTAATAAAAATTATTAAAGTGTTGGTGAACTTTATTAGAAATAAAATCAATGCAAAGTAAAAACACAAAAATATAATACCACACTCATTAATATCCCTCTTTTACAAAAAGTCATGAAGCCTACATTTTTAATTATGCCTCCTTTGTTACATCATCCAATTTCTGTTCACCTTACAATCTTTAAAACAATATGGATGAAATGGTTTTTGATCTGATGTAGTCATCAGGTAATCTTCACTCCTAAAGTATGAGTCTAAATTTAATATTTTTTTCTGAAAAAAATGGTAAGATTGAAAGTTCATGAAATTTTCAAAACCCATTATTAGCCCCATTATGTGATCTTTCTTGGAGAATCATCTATGAACACTCAAAATAATGTAAATTCTGTGGTTTTATATGTACTTTAAAAAAATTAGGTCAAGTTGATTAATAGTGTTCAAATCTTCTCTGCAATTATTCATTTATTCTTGATCTAGTTGTTCCATGAATTATTGAGACAGAAATGTTAAAATCTCTAGCTGTGATTGTGAATTTTTATGTTTATCAATTTAGCTTTGTCAGTTTTTATCTCAATATTTTAAAAACTCTGATATGTAGATACATATTTAGGACTGTTATATTTTCCTGGTGAATCAACTCTTTATATCATTATAAAATGTTCTTTGTCTCATAATACACTTGATGTCCAATGTGTCTATTAATATAGCCACACCAAATTCCTTCTGCTACCCTTTCCATGATACATGTTTTCCTTACACTTTTCCTTCTAGACTATCTTTTTATTAGTCTCTGTAAGACAGAATACAATTAGATCATACCCTTTTACTTAGTGTAATAATGTTTGACTATTTAAGAATTTTTAGTACACTCACAGTTAATGTAATCATCATATGATTGCCTTTTATTTTATTTTTGTCCCATTTCTTTTTAAATCAATTTTCCTTCTGTCTAGTTATGTCCTTTTAATTATTTAAATATCTTCAGTATTCCATTTATAATGTTAAATTGGTTTCATAAAACAAAATATTCTGTATTATTAAATTAGCAATTGTTCTGTGAATTATAATATTCACGCTTAAATTACTACAATCTATTATGGTTGTAATTTTATGTACTTCTACATCCACATTAAACTCAACAACACAGTGTTATTGTTTTTGTATTAGTCAGTTATTTCAAAGTGATTGCTCATCATTCCTTCCATGGTTCAGAATTGCAATATGACTTTACTTCATCCTATAGAACTTAGTTTAGAATTTCTTGTGTAGATATGCAGGTGAAAAGTCTCAGCTTTGGCTGATTTGAAAATACATATATTTTACATTCATAATTTTTACTTAACATACAATATTACACTGACTTTTGTTTATTATGTAAAAATATCATTCTATTACCTTTTGACATTCATTCATTTTGATGAGTATCAATTGTACTATTTCTTTGGCATTTAAAGAAATTATCTTTGTGTTTCTGCACATTTAGGAATTTTTAAAAGATTTTTTTTCCTAAAACATTGGATTCTGTCATAAAAGCAAGCACTAGAAGAAAATTGACAGCTATATATATATTGAGAGCTCAAGTAAGAGTTATCAAGCTCCAGAGGTATCTGTTAACATTTTAAGATAGGATAAAATTCAGGACCTATTTCTAAATTGTAAATCTGGAGATACTAAAATTATTTGGCCCTTCAAAAGATATGTTTACATTCCAGAAATGTTAGAGTGAGAAAATGAGATTCTTTCCATCTTATCTCCAAGGGGCAAATATTTTTCCCCTTTGTTTCAAGAGGAGGGGGTATCTGTCTCTTTCTTCTATTAAAAATACCAAGATTCATTTTTTCACCATTCATCACCTATGTGACAGACTCTTTCATGTACAGTGTGACAACTAGTTCATATTGTTTTTCCCTAGGCATAAGAACCAGTGTATGGTATGCCAGAACAATTATCACATGAGTAATAATTGACAGGAAAAAATATACATTCAGAAAAAAATAAAGATAATTATTTAAAACTAACAATTTCCCATCATCCCCAGGCTGCTTTAAAGATTTTAGACTTATTTTTATTTTCTATCAATAAGCTTATGATGTGCCTAGGCAGAATTTCCTTTGTATGGTTAGCTTTTTTGCCCTTCGCCAACATGTAAACTGGTGATTTTCATCAAATTCAGAAGAAAATGTGACCTTTTTTTCAGATGCATTTACTGTCCCTATTATACTTTCATATTTTTCTGGCATTCAAATTGCATTTTTTTTTGAGATGGAGTCTCTGTCTGTCGCCCAGGCTGGAGTGCAGTGGGGAGATCTTGGCTCACTGCAGCCGCCACCTCCTAGGTTCAAGCAATTCTCCTGCCTCAGCCTCCCAAGTAGCTGGGATTACAGGTGTGTGCCACCACACCATGCTGATTTTTGTATTTTTAGTAGAGACGGGTTTCACCATATTGGCCAGGCTGATTTCAAACTGCTGACCTCAGGTGATCCACCCGCCTCGGCCACCCAAAGTGCTGGGATTACAGGCATGAGCCACTGTGCCCAGCCACAATTTGCATAAATGTTAAAGTACTTTATCTTTCCCTACAGCAAAAATATCTCTTTTCATATTTTTTTTCAGGCTTTCTCTTCAAGTTTTCAGACAGGGTAGTTTTATACTGGTCTACCTACCAGTTAAATCACCTTTTATTTTCCTGCAGTTTTAAAGCTACTGTAAATGTCAGCTGACAGTTAATTTAATTTTGTATATTATATTTTTCTTCTTTTGAATTCCTAATGTTTTCCATCATTTTAATTTTTAACTGGTCACTCATTATGAACATCTTTTTAAATCATGAAGCATAATTATAAAAGCACACACACACTCACACACACACACAGAGTCCCTGACTTACAATGGTTCAACTTAAAATTTACTTCATTTTTGAGACAGGGTCTGATATGGTTTGTCTGTGTCCCCACCTAAATCTCATCTTAAATTGTAACTCCCACAATTCACACCTGTTGTGGGAGGAACCCAGTGACAAGTGATTGAAGTATGGCGGCAGGTCTTTCCTGCACTGTTCTTGTGATAGTGAATGAGTCACATGAGATCTGATGGTTTTAAAAATGGGAGTTTCCAGTAATGGGATGGCTGGCTCAAATGGTATTTCTAGTTCTAGATCCCTGAGGAATCGCCATACTGTCTTCCACAATGGTTGAACTAGTTTACAGTCCCACCAACAGTGTAAAAGTGTTCCTATTTCTCCACATCCTCCCCAGCACCTGTTGTTTCCTGACTTTTTCGTGATCGCCATTCTAACTGGTGTGAGATGGTATCTCACCAGTTTTGATTTGCATTTCTCTGATGGCCAGTGATGATGAGCATTTTTTCATGTGTCTGTTGGTTGCATAAATGTTTTATTTTGAGAAGTGTCTGTTCATACCCTTCGCCCACTTTTTGATGGGGTTGTTTTTTCCTTGTAAGTGTGTTTGAGTTCTTTGTAGATTCTGGATATTAGCCCTTTGTCAGATGAGTAGCTTGCAAAAATTTTCTCCCATTCTGTAGGTTGCCTGTTCACTCTGATGGTAGTTGCTTTTGCTGTGCAGAAGCTCTTTAGTTTAATGAGATCCCATTTGTCAATTTTGGCTTTTGTTGCCATTGCTTTTGGAGTTTTAGACATGAAGTCCTTGCCCATGCCTATGTCCTGAATGGTATTGCCTAGGTTTTCTTCTAGGGTTTTTATGGTTTTAGGTCTCACATTTATAACATGCTGCTTTAAAGACACATGCACATGTATGTTTATTGCGGCACTATTCACAATAGCAAAGACTTGGAACCAACCCAAAATCCACTGGATTAAGAAAATGTAGCACATATACACCATGGAATACTATGCAGCCATAAAAAAGGACGAGTTCACGTCCTTTGTAGGGACATGGATGAAGCTGGAAACCAACATTCTCAGAAAACTATCGCAAAAACAAAAAACCAAACACCACATGTTCTCACTCATAGGTGGGAATCGAACAATGAGAACACCTGGACACAGGAAGGGGAATATCACACACTGGGGCCTGGCATGGGGTGAGGGGAGGGGGGAGGGATAGCATTAGGAGATATACCTAATGTAAATGATGAGTTAATGGGTGCAGCACACCAACATGGCACATGTGTACATATGTAACAAACCTGCACGTTTTGTACCCTAGAACTTAAAGTATAATAGAAAATAAATAAATAAATAAAAATAAATAAATAAAATAAAATAAAATAAAAATGGGAGTTTCCCAGCACAAGTGCTCTTTTTTTGCCTGACGCTCAGAGGTGACAACATGCTAGCAGCCCTCGCTGGCTCCCAGCACCTGCTCGGCCTTGGTGTCCACTCTGGCCGCACTCAAGGAGCCCTTCAGCCTGCCACTGCGCTGTGGGAGCCCCTCTCTGGGGCTGGCTGAGGCTGGAGCTGGCTCCCTCCGCTAGCAGGGAGGTGTGGAGGGAGAGGCGGGGGTGGGAGCCGGGGCTGCCCAAGGCGCTCGTGGGCCGGCATGGGTTCCAGGTGGGCGTGGGCTTGGCGGGCCCTGCACTAGGCACGGCTGGCCGGCACCTGCTGGGCTTGATCAGGGGACGAGTTCCCTCTGGGCTACTGGAGTGCCTGGGCTAGGTGCCCAAAGTCCTGCAGCGAGTGCCATTGAGAGGTGAAGCCGGATGGGCTTCTGTGTCAGGTGGGGACCTGTAGAACTTTTCTGTCTAGCTAAAGGTTTGTAAATGCTCCAATCAGCGCTCTGTGTCTAGCTAATCTGGTGGGGACTTGGAGAACTTTTGTGTCTAGCTAAAGGATTGTAAACACACCAATCAACACTCTGTCTAGCTAAAGGTTTGTAAATGCACCAATCAGCGCTCTGTCAAAACGGACCAATCAGCTCTCTGTAAAACAGATCAATCAACTCTCTGTAAAATGGACCAATCAGCAGGATGTGGGTGGGGCCAGATAAGGGCCAGATAAGGGCCCTGGAGCCAGCAGGCCACCTGAGCCAGCAGCAGCAACCTGCTTGGGTCCCCTTCCACGTTGTGGAAGCTTTGTTCTTTTGCTCTTCACAATAAATCTTGCTGCTGCTCACTCTTTGGGTCCGTGCTGACTTTATGAGCTGTAACACTCACGACGAAGGTCTGCAGCTTCACTCCTGAAGCCAGTGAGACCATGAACCCACTGGGAGGGACAAACAATTCTGGATGGGAGGAACGAACAGCTCCAGACGTGTCACCTTTATGAACTGTAACACTCACCGCGAAGGTCTGCAGTTTCACTCCTGAGGCCAGCGAGACCACGAACCCACTGGAAGGAAGAAACTCCGGACACATCTGAACATCTGAGGAACAAACTCTGGACACACCATCTTTAAGAATTGTAACACTCACTGTGAGGGTCCACGGCCTCATTCTTGAAGTCAGTGAGACCGAGAACCCACCAATTCCGGACACACCGCCATCCATGTAAGATGTGACTTGCTCCTCCTTGCCTGCCACCATGATTGTGAAGCCTTCCCAGCCATGTGGAACTGTAAGTCCAGTTAAACCTCTCTCTTTTTTAAATTGCACAATCTCTGGCATGTCTTCATTAGCAGCATGAAAACGGACTAATACAGTAAATTGGTACTAGCGGAGTGGGGCATTGCTGAAAAGATACCTGAAAATGTGGAAACGACTTTGGAACTGGGTAACAGGTAAAGGTTGGAACAGATTGGAGGGGTCAGAAGACAGGAAAATGTGGGAAAGTTTGGAACTTCCTAGAGACTTGTTGAATGACTTTGACAAAAATGCTGATAGTGATATGAACAATAAGGTCCAGGCTAAGGTGGTCTCAGATGGAGATGAAGAACTTTTGGGAACTGAAGCAAAGATGACTCTTGTTATGTTTCAGCAGAGACTGGTGGCATTTTGCCCCTGCCCTAGAGATTTGTGGAACTTTGAACTTAAGAGAGATGATTTAGGGTACCTGTTGGAAGAAATCCTAAGCAGAAAAGCATTCAAGATTTAACTTGGGTGCTGTTAAAGGCATTCAGTTTCATAAGGGAAGCAGGGCATAAAAATTTGGAAAATTTGCAGCCTGACAATGGGATGGAGAAGAAAATCCCATTTTCAGAGAAGAAATTCAAGCCAGCTGCAGAAATTTCCATAAGCAAAGAAAAGCCGAATGTTAATCCCCAAGATAATTGGGAAAATGTCTCCAGGGCATGTCAGAGGTCTTCACAGCAGCCCCTCCCATCATAGGCCCAGAGGCCTAGGAGGAAAAAGTGGTTCTGTGGGCTGGGCACAGGGTCACCATGCTGTGTGCAGCCTAGGGACTTGGTGCCCTGACTCTCAGCTGCTTCAGCTGTGGCTGAAAGGGTCCAAGGTAGAGCTCAGGCTGTGGCTTCGGAGGGTGCAAGCCCAAAGCTTTGGCAGCTTCCATGTGGTGTTGAGCATGGAAGTACACAGAGGTCAACAAATTGAGGTTTAGGAACCTCTGCCTAGATTTCAGGGTACGTATGGAAATGCCTGGATTCTCAGGTAAAAGTTAGCTGCAGGGGTGGAACCCTTATGGAAAATCTCTGCTAGGGCAGTGAGAAAAGGAAATGTGGGGGCAGAGCCCCCATACAGAGTCCCCTCTGGAGCACCACCTAGTAGAGCTGTGAGAAGAGGGCCACTATCCTCCAGAGCCCAGAATGGCAGATCCACTGACAGCTTGCATCATGTGCTTGGAAAAGCCACAGACACTCAATGCCAGTCCATGAAAGCAGCCAGGGGGAGGTTGTGCCCTGCAAAGTCACAGGAGTGGAATGGCTCAAGAACATGGGAACCCATCCCTTGTATCAGTGTGACCTGAATGAATGTGAGACATGGAGTCAAAGGAGATCATTTTGGACCTTTAAGATTTGACTGCCCTGTTGGATTTCAGACTTGCATGGGGACTGTAGTCCCTTTGTTTTGGCCAGTTTCTCCCATTTTGAACGGCTGCATTTACCCAATGCCTGTACCCTCACTCTATCTAGGAAGTAACTAACTTGCTTTTGATTTTACAGGCTCATAGGCAGAAGGGACTTGCCTTGTCTTGGATGAGATTTTGGGCTGTGGACTTTTGAGTTAATGCTGAAATGATTTAAGACTTTGCGGGACTGTTGGGAAGGCATGACTGTGTTTTGAAATGTGAAGACATGAGATTTGGGAGGGGCCAGGGGTCAAATGATATGGTTTGGCTGTGTACCCACTCAAATCTCATCTTGAATTGTAACTCCCAGAATTCCTATGTGCCACGGGAGGAACACAGTGGGAACTGATTGAATGATGGGGGTGGGTCTTTCCCTCACTGTTCTCATGATAGTGAATGAGTCTCATGAGATCTGATGGTTTTTAAAATGGGATTTTTCCTTCACTAGCTCTTTTTTTTTGCCTGCTGCTATCCAAGCAAGATGTGACTTGCTCCTCCTTGCCTTCCACCATGATTGTGAGGCCTCCCCAGCCATGTGGAACTGTAAGTCCAATTGAACCTCTTTCCTTTTTAAATTGCCAAGTCTCTGGTATGTCTTTATCAGTAGCATGAAGATGGACAAATACAGAGTCTCATTCTATCACCCAGGCTGGAGTGCAGTGGCACAATCCTGGCTCTTTGCAGACTTGACCTCCTGGGTCCAAGCAATCCAACTCAGCCTCCTGAGAAGCTGGGACCACAAGTGTGCACTGCTATGCCTGGCTAATTATTATTTTTATTATTAATTATTTTTAGTAGAGACAGAGTCTTTCTATCTTTCCCAGGCTGGTCTTGAACACCTGGGCCCAAGCAGTCCTTCTGCCTTGGCTTTGCTCTAGTTCCCTCAGGCATAACTGGAAAATATTCCTAGGTAGAAGAATCAGAGGTTCTTGTGACTTACTTCAGTTATTTTCTTTTTCTTAAGGATCAAAAATTGTCACTGCCCTTTACACCATATTTGAAAACATTTTTGTCCAGTTTCTTAGATGTTTTCAGCAACAGGGCAAGTCAAGTACAATAATGGCTAAAAGAATTTCCAGGAACTGATTTAAAAATGAGTACTAATTATTAGCACTAGATGTTCTGGCATTACCCTAAATCCCACACCTTCACTATAATTATTCTCTTGGGGCTTGCCAGAGCTCCATATAACACCTTTGTTTGCGGAAGCACTCAAATTTAATGGAGTTTGTTACATTGTAAGGAACAAATGACAAAATATCTCACATAACAACATGGATTTTCTGCAGACATGACTACTTTGAATTAATCCAGTAAAAGGGTCATAACAGGATGCCCAGATATAGGAAGTATTGCCTCCATAGTCGAAGGTGATCCACAAAGTACTGTTTCCCTTTGTACATGTGCAAGTGCAACATCTCTTATCTCAGTTAAATTAAATATTTAATTTTTTAAATTTAACATATTATCAATCTTATCAGAATTGATTCTTCAATCCTGCTAGTTTTTATTTATCTTTCACTATTCTTTTCCTTCTGTTCTGCTAGACTGATTTCATTTCATATTCACTTTGTCTCTTCTATTTGCATATCAGATATACATTTTGTTTTATTTATTTATTTCTAATTGGTTAGTCAGGGAATTGAAATATGCATGCTAGACTCATCCTGTCTACCAAGAATAATATTGTACCACTTCACATGCAATGTGATAATGTAAACCCCTCATACTCCTGCTAATCCTGCTTCTTCTTTGTATAATTTTTGTCATACATTTTGTTTCTGCATATGGAATGAGCCCCACAATCCATTGTTAGTATTTGTGCTTTAAGCAGATAATTATATTTTTGAAAAGTAAGGATTTATGGTAAAATCTCTTTTGTGTTTACTCATATATTTACAATTTTTAGTGCTCTTCCTTCTTTATACACAACCAGCTTTCCTTCTGTATCATGTTCCTTCCTCTGAAAATAGTCCTTTAATATTTCTTGGAGGAGTGAAAGTTTGTTAATAAATTTTTTTGTGAAGATTTGGTTGATCAAAATATATTTTTAAATATTGACGATCACAATTTTTTAATCCCTCGTATGCAAATTTTAGCATCTCTGTCATCTCTGAGTTTGTTTCGATTATTGTTTTAATCTTTTTTCTGGTTCACATTTCACTTTTTTTTTGTTATACTGCTGCATGTCTGGATTTTGTTGATTTGCTTTAGAATGTGATGGATTTTTTGTTGTTCATTTTCATTTTTGTTGTGCTTTTTTTCCTACAGTAAATTTACTAGTGGATCAGCTTGTTCTACTTGAGGGCTGTTTTTCAATAGTGATTATCTGCATCTTAAATAGCCTTCACTGTAGAACTAGAATTGCCCACAAGTTGTGAATCCTTAGTTGAGTACAGTAATGTCTCTATCTGCTTGGTTGAAACTTCTATGTTTCTCAATATTGCACAATCTTCAGGATATTCATTAAACTGAGAGCTCCCTAATCTCACAAAGTTTCACCCTGATCATTTAATTTGGTAAATAGCTGCATAACAGCTGCTGAAATTGTCTTGATTTGTTTCAGCAAAGGAACTAAAATTACAGGGCACTTAATTTGCAATCATCATCTGATTAAGGTTTTGATAATTTGTCATTATCAATGACCCATCTGTCTTTGCCTCAGTCAGATGGGTGATTTCAAGGGAGAATGTGGAGAAATCACCAAACATGCATTTTTAAAATATTTCCTGTTATCACTAATGTCTACAATTTCTCCATGGATTTGCTACTGTTCTGTGTTTACTCTCTTAATAAATCTTGAGGTGAATGGTTCCATGAGCTGTGCTTGGTTTTTCCTTTCATATCATTCTTTGCTGTACATGTTAGGAAACCCTTGTAGAGAAATTGTGTGTTACTATATTTATTTATTTCTCCTATACACACTTGAACAAGATAAATATTCAAAGGATTTATCCAATGTCTCAAGGCACCCAATGTAAGACAGAATAAAGTATATACCGTTTATAAAGTGATGCACAGAAATACCCACTTTTTCTGGTTGACCACGATAGAATTTCATATCACCAGGGATTACTATCAGTTCAGAGCCAGGATATAATAACTCCTAGGATATCTGGGTATATTCCTCTTCCCAGTGAATTTTTATTTCAGTAATTGAAAGCAGAGCTTCCTGAGGAGGGATTTCAGGGAAGATTCATGGTATACCTCTGAGACGATTTTGCAATGGCATTTCTCTACATAACCTGGTCTCTCCCTCGGTCTGCTTTGTATATATATGTTTGCCAATATACGTCAAGCAGTACCTTAGTAGACTGATCATGTATTTCATTTCCTAAAAATCCATTGCCGGAGATCCTTATAGAACAAAACTCTCCAGTTATCATTCTGTTCCTGTGTCATATTATGTTAATTGCACCCATTTTATTTCAGACAATTGTACAGTATAACAGCCTCTACTTATTCTGTGAGTCTTCTATTTTTATTGATGTCAAGCAGTCCATATGTATTTCAGCATCCATATTTATTTCACTATGCTTGAGCCATAGAAAACTAGCTCTATAATAATGTTGCATTCCTCTCATCAATGCATTGGTTAATAAATCTGTGAAAAGCTCTTTAGACAGTACTTTTAGATGGTGGCTAAGAAAGTTCTACAGGGTAGATCTATTCCAACATTCTCATCCTTTTGAGCCATCAAGTCTTCCTTTATTGTGTGCCAGGAGAAGTGATATTTTAAGCTCATTAACTGTAGGCCATGATGGACTCCAGATTGATTTTCTCTCTAGCAGCTTATTAAAACTATTTTCTAGGTTTGAGCCGAAATGGTAAAATTTCAATTTCTAGAAAGCCCTTTTATATTAATAAAGTAATCCTTTTGATTCTTATATGTCTCCTTCTTGGTATAGCACCATTGGTATTTAGTCTTATGTTTATCATCCTTGGTATAACACCTTTAGTATCTAATCCCGTGTATTAGTCTCTTCTGCATTGCTATAAAGAAATACCTGAGAGTGAATAATTTGTAAAGAAAAGAGGCTTAATTTGGTTATTGGTTCTGAAGACTATAGAAGAAGCATAGTACCAGAGTATGCTTTTGGTGAAAACCTCAGGAAGCTTATAATTATGGCAGAAGTTGAAGAGAAAACAGGCATGTCACCTGACAGGAGAGAGAGCAAAGAGAGAGGAAGAATTACCAGGTTGTTTTAAATAAACCAGCTCTTGCAGGAACCAATAGATTTAGAACTCATTCACCTTGTGAGGAGAGCACCAAAACATTCAGGAGAGATCCACCGCCATGACCCAAATCCTTCCCTCTAGGCCTCATTGCTGACATTTGGGGTCACATTTCAACGTGAGGTTTGGAGGGGAAAATGTATCCAAACTGTATTATTCCACCCTTTGCCCCTCAAATCTAATGTCCTTTGACACTGCAAAATACAGTGATACCTTCTCAATATTTTCCCAAAAGTCTTAACTTGTTCCAATACTAACTAAAAAGTCCTAAGTCCAATGTCTTATTTGAGACTCAGGCCCAGTTTCTTCCACCTATGAGACTGTAAGTTCAAAAACAAGTTACTTACTTCGAAGATACAATGGTGGTACACACATTGGGCAATGTTCCCATTCAAAAAGGAGAAATAGGGACAACAGCCCTCATACCAGCTCAAAATTCAGCAGGGCAGACCTCAAAGCTCCAACATAATCCTTGACTATATGTCCCACATCTTGGGCATGCTGGTGTGAGGAGTGAGTCCCCAAGGCCTAGGCAGCTCTTTCCCTAAGGCTTTGCTGGGTATAGCTCTTATGTTTGTGCTCACAAGTTGGAATCTGGTGCCTGTGGCTTTTCCATGCTGAGACTGCAAGCTGCTGGTGGCTGTACCATCTTGGGGTCCAGAGGGCAATGGTCCCCTTCCTACAGCTTCTGAAATCTAGGTAGAAGCTGCCAATTTGCCTCTACTCTTGTATTCTGCATGCCTGCAGGCTTAACACTACATGGAAGGACCAAGGCTTATGGCTTGCACTTTTCTAAGTGGTAGCCCAAGCAATATCTGGGTCCCTCTGAACCACACCTATAGCAGCCAGGATGCAGGGGGCAGCATCCCAAGGTGGCAAAGGGTGGTGTGTCAGGCCTGGCCCCCCAAACCATTCATTCCCTCTAGGCCCTTGAGCTTGTAATTGGAGGCGTGGTCTGGAAGATTTCTGAAAGACCTTCCAGGAATTTTTTTTTTCTATTGTCTTCGATATTAACACCTGGTTCTTTTTTTACTCATGCTAGTCTCTCTAGCAAGTGATTGCTCCACAAGTTGCTTTGATTCATCTCCTTTGGATTTTTCCCCTGAAAAATCCTTTTTCCTTCTCTGCCAGAAGGCTGGGCTGTGTATTTCCCAAATGCTTATGTTCTGCCTCCCTTTTAATTATAAGTTCCAATGTTAAGTCATTCTTTTGCTCCCATATGTCATTATAGGTTGTTAGAAGCAGCTACATTACTTCTTGAATGCTTTGCTGCTTAGAAGTTTCTTCTGCCAGATAACCTAAGTCATCATTGTTAAGTCCAACAAATCTGTAGGGTATAGACAGAATGCATACAAGTTCTTTGCTAAGGTGTAACAAGGGTAATCCTTGCTCCAGTTCACAATAAATTCCTTAATATCATCTGAGACTTTGTCATTCCGGCTGTCCATATGTCTATCAGCATTTTGGTCATAATCACTTAACCAGTCTCTAAGAAGTTCCAAACTTTCTCTCATCTTTCTGTCTTTTCTCCTGACTCTTCCAACCTCTGCCCGTTACCCAGTTGCAAAACCTCTTCCACATTTCCAGGTATCTTTATAACAATGCCCCACTCCTTGGTACCAATTATCTGTGTTAGTCCATTTAGCATTGCTATAAAGGAATATCTGAGGCAGGGTAATTTATAAAGAAAATAGTTTCATTTTGACTCACAGTTCTGCAGAAGTATAGTGTTGGCATCTGTTCCTGGTGAGGACCCCAGAAAGCTTACAAGCAAGGTGGAAGGATAGGGGATGCAGGCATGTCACATGATGAAAGAGGGAACAAGAGAGAGGGGAAGATGTCCCAGGAGATTTCAAATAACCACCTCTCATGTAAGCTAATACAGAGAGAACACACTCATTTTGTGAGCTAAGCACCAAGCCATTCATGAGGGACCTGCCCCTATGACCCAAACATCTCCCACTAGGATCCACCTCCAAGACTAGGGATCCCATTTCAATATAAGGGTTGGAGGGGACACACATTCAAACTATATCACCATGTATGCTCTCTGCTTCGACAATCTGGTGAGGGCTGTCATTTTTTTAATGTCTAGTTATTATCTCCATGTACATTCCTTATAATTTTCGTATGGAATATGTTGGGTATCTAAATTAATTCATGGATACAAAGAAAACATGGAGCGGTAGGATGTGTCCTGAGAAGAATAATCATCACCACTAACCTAGCTGTAATATTTAAAGAGTTAAGGCTCACAAAAGTAGTTTATCTCACGTAAGTTTAGAAGAGCTTCCTCCCCTAATAATAGAATTTCAGGTAGATTTGTGGCTACGCTGTCTGTTTCCTCAGTATTGATGCAAATATTCCCATTGTATACTTCTGTG